>NC_000001.11:242547757-242699273 GCF_000001405.40 Homo sapiens
GCTTATCTTTGAAATTTAATGTTTAGTAAGAAATGAACTATTTTTTAGTCCAAAAGTTATATTTGGACTACAATTCTTTTTTTAACTTGGAAAGTGTGTGATACATACAGGACTATACTTTTTAAAAGTTGGCCAGGCGTGGTGGCTCGCACCTATAATCCCAGCACTTTGGGAGGCCAAGGTGGGTGGATCCCTTGAGGCCAGGAGTTGGAGAGCAGCCTGGCCAACATAGTGAAATCCCATCTCTATTAAAAATACAAAAAATAAGGCCGGGCACAGTGGCTCACGCCTGTAATCCTAGCACTTTGGGAGGCTGAGGCAGGAAGATCTCTCGAGCCCAGGAGTTCAAGAACAGCCTGGACCTCATGAGGAAACCCCATCTCAATGCACAAAAAAATACAAAAATTAGCCGGGCGTGGTGGCGCATGCCTGTAGTCCCAGCTATTTGGGGGGCTGAGGCAGGAGGATTGCTTGAACCTGGGAGGTGAAGGCTGCAGTGAGTCAAGATCACACCACTGCATTGCAGCTTGGGTGACACAGTGAGAGTCTGTCTCATAAATACAAAAATAAATAAATAAATAAAAATACAAAAAATTAGCTGGGCATGGTGGCATGCACCTGTAGTCACAGATGTTTGGGAGCCTGAAGCCCAAGAATCACTTGAACCCGGGAGGCAGAGGTTGCTGTGAGCTGAGATCGCACCACTTCACTCCAGCCTGGGCGACAGAGTGAGACTGTCTTGAAAAAAAAAAATCAAGTATACAGAGACAGGGAATAAAACAGTGGTTATCAGGGATGGGCAAGTGGGTGAGGAGATGGAGAGATGTGGGTCAGAGGATACATATCAGCATATATGTAAAATGAACAAATCTAGAGAATTAATGCACAACATAAGAACTACAGGCAACAAAAGTGTATTGTATTTGGTATCCGTGCTCAGTGAGTAGATTTTAGCTGCTCTTGCAACAAAAAACAAACACACAAAAATGGATAACTGAGATGATGGATATGTTAATTTGCTTCACTATAGTAACCATTTTACTATCTATATGTATCTTATAACCTAATGTTGTAAAACTTAAATATATACAATAACATTTTGTAATGCATATGTATATTTAAAAAATAAAAAATAAGGCAAATACCCATGTAACCACCACCCTGTGACAAAAGAACATTGCCCACTTGTATTCCCCAGCCAGACTGTATCAGCTTCTTTCCCCACCCAAGGCAATCATTTCCCTGCTTTACTCTATAGTTTTATCTCCTATCTATGTATCCTTAGAAATATTGCTTAGTCTTACTGATTTATGAGCTTTGTATAAATGGAATCATGCTGTATTTTCCTGTAACTTGCTTATTTCTCCATTATGTTTGTGAAATTCATCCACGCTCATGTGCCTTGCTGCAGTCTCTTCATTTTCATGGTAATAATATTTTGTTGTATGACTGTATTTCAATTTTTTACTCAACCCACTGTGTTAGACTTTAGCTTCTTTTCAGTTTGTAGCTACTTAATATAGCAAAAGAAAGCATGGAAACATAAAGCCAGAAAGTAGTGAAATTGGTTCCCCAAGTGCTAAGTGGGAAGTAGTTGCAGATGAAAGAAAAAAAATTCTGTGCACATGTTTAAACACATGTTTTGCTTTTGAACCATGTTAATATGTTACATATTCAAAAAATAAAAAAATTAACAGGAAATAAAAATAATTTTTAAAAACTAAAATTTCATGTCAATAGAAACAAATGAACCTATGAATTTGTAATACTCAGAAGAAAACAATTATCTCAAATCACATTTAAACCAGTATTCTGACTATATATCCACCATGGTATACAGTCATGCATTACTTAACAATGAGGATACGCTATAAGACATGCATCGCTACTCTATTCTGTCATTGTGCAAACATCATGGAGTGAATTTACACAAACCTAGGTGGTGTAACCTACTACACACCTAGGCTATACAGTATAGCCTGTTACTCCAGGGCTACAAAGCTGTGCATCATGTGACTGTACTGAATGCTGTAGGCAATTGCCACACAGTGGTATTTGTGTATCTCAGCATATCTAAACATAGAAAAGGTACAGTAAAGATACACTATTCTAATTTTTTTTGTTTTGTTTTTTGGAGATGGAGTCTCACTGTGTTGCCCAGGCTGGAGTGCAGTGGCTCAATCTCGGCTCACTGCAACCTCCACCTCCCAGGTTCAAGCAGTTCTCCTGCCTCAGCCTCCCCAGTAGCTGGGACTACAGGCACACGCCGCCAAGCCCAGCTAATTTTTTGTATGTTAGTAGAGACGGGGTTTCACCATGTTGCCCAGGCTGGTCTTGAACTCCTGAGCTCAGGCAATCTGCCCGCCTCAGCCTCCCAAAGTGCTAGGATTACAGGCATGAGCGACCATGCCTGGCCGCACTATTATAAGCTTATGGAACTACTGTGGCAGAGGCAGTCCATCCTGGACCAAAATGTCATTATACAGCCCATGATTGTATTTCAAGTACAAAAAAGTCTACAATGAAATATTGATTGGTGTTTAGTTGAGTGGCATTGCACTGAATTTATAATCGAGTGGATCTGACTTCAAAATATTGTCTTCCTACATAAAACCACAGCATGTTTATTTATGACGTTCAATGAAGTGTTATAATTTTATCTTTATGAGAAGCACATATTTTGTTAGATTTATCCATGGCTATTTCACACTTTTGATGTTACTGTAAATGGTATCTTTTCTCTTTCATTTTCTATTTATTCCTGGCATATAGAAATGTAATGCATTTTCGTATATTGATTATGTACCAACAAAGTTGCTGAATTTTCTTATTAAATAATTTATTTGCAGATTATCTAGGATTCCCTGTTCATAATCATATCATTTCTGATTTTTATACCTTGTACTTTTCTTTTTCCTCAACTGCACTGACTAGAACCCCCAGTACAGCATTGAATGCGACTAAATGATAGTGGGCATTCTTGTCTGGTTCCTGATCTCTATGGGAATGCAATCAGTGTTTCACCATTAAATATAATGCTTTCCATTACACTGTGTATTTGTTTTAGGTTCCTTTTATCGCATTAAAAAATTTCCCTCTTTTTTTTTTTTTTTGAGATGATGTCTCACTCTTGTCGCCCAGGCTGGAGTGCAGTGGTGCAATCTCAGCTCACTGCAACCTCTGCCTCCCAGGTTCAAGCAATCTCCTGCCTCAGCCTCCTGAGTAGCTGGGATTACAGGCGCCCACCACCACGGCCGGCTAATTTTTGCATTTTTAGTAGAGACAGGGTTTCACCATGTTGGCCAGGCTGGTCTTGAACTCCTGACCTCAGGAGATCTGCCCACTTCGGCCTCCCAAAGTGTTGGGATTACAGGTGTGAGCCACCGCACCTGGCCTCCCTCTGTTTATAATTTTTAAGAGCACTTGAAATCATGAATAGATATTGAATATTCTCTAGTAATCATTCTGCATCTATTGATGCTCATTTCTTTTTTTTAGATAATGTGCTAGATTGTTTATTATAGTTAATAAACCTTACATTTCTGTAAGTCAAATGTTACTGCATTATACGTATACAATGTTTTTTATACATTGCTGGATTTTGTGTACTCATTTATTATAGTGATTTATTTCATCTCTCTTCAGAGTTAGATTGGTCTTTAATTTCCATTTCCCATATTTGTTCAAGTATGGTTTTGGTATTGAGATGGGATCAACCTTGTTAAATGAGTTGAGGAATGTTTTTCTCTTTTTCTATTCTCTGGAAGAGATTTTGCACAGTTGGAATTACTACCTTTTAAAATGTAGACCTCACTGGGAAAAGCATGTGATGGCAGACATTTTTTAGTGGGAATTTTTTTTATTGTTTTGTTTTAGAGACTGAGTCTTGCTCTGTTGCCCAGGCTGGAGTGCAGTGGTGTGATCATAGCTCACTGCATAGCTAATGGTAGCCTTGAATTTCTGGGTTCAAGCTATCCTCTTGCTCCAGCCTCCCAAGTAGCTGGGATTACAGGTACATGACACCATGCCCAGCTAACTTTTTTGTTTTTCTGTTTTGTAGAGATGGGGTCTTGCTAAGTTGCCCAGGCTTGTCTTGAACTCCTGGCCTTAAGCGATCCTCCTGCCTTGGCATCCCAAAGTGCTGAGATTACCAGCATGAGCCACTGTGCCTGGCCTGGAAGATTTTTTTCTTTTTTTTTTTTACTATTAATTCAATGTCACTAAAGTTTACAAAACCATTTTTTTTTATTTTTATGTCACTTTTGGTCGCATATTTTTCTAAGATCTATACATTTCATTTAAATATGTTGGCACACACTCTTTTTATATATCATTTATATAAATCATAATATCCTTTTCCGTATTTTTAATGACTGCAACGTCTATAATTAATTATGCACTCCCTTTCACATCTAATACTGTATGTATAATTGTGAATTCTCTCTTTTATTCTTGACTAGAGTTATCATGGGCTGTTTCAAAGACTCATTTTTTAGCTTTGTTGTATTCATCAATTTTAAATTTAATTTTATCATATTACTTTCTGGATTTATGTTTATTATTTTGTTCTTTATATTGTATTTTATTTTGCCACTCTAAGTCCTAATGGATGTTTATCACATTACTTTTCATTCTCTGATTTGTATTACGAGTGTTCAAGATCATACTTTTTTTCATCCTGCTTTAGCTGCATCCTATACAAATTTATAACAGCATTTTCATTGCTTACTTTTAAATATAGTCTGATTTGTATTAATATTTATTTTACCAAAGTATTATTTCTGGGCGTGCTTTTAAATTGTCAAAATATGAGGATGTTACTTTTGCAAATGATTACTGATTTGTTTTCATTGTAATAAGATATTGGGAGGGACTTAACTGATTTCAGTCCTTTGAAATTTAAGACATTAAATTTAAGGTCCAATATATATATGGCTGATTTTTTAAAATATTCTATGTGTGTTTAGAAAGAATATATATTCAGCAATGTGGGGTACAATACGGATATATGTATATTAGTTCCAGCTTCTGAATGTGTTATTTAAATATTCTATATGCTTGCTGACTTTTGGTCCGCTCGTTTTATAAATTACTGATAGTAATGTGTTAAAAAATCTCCACTCTGATAGTGGATTTTCATATTTCTTCTTGTAGCTTTATTTATATTCTGCTATATACATTTTCAGGTCATATTATTAGTAAATACAATTTAAAATTATTATTTTACCCTGGTGATCTTTACTGAAAATGATCCTTTTTTGCCTTCAGATTTTTTTCCCCTTAAAGTTCTATTTTATCTTTTACCAAAATGTTAAGACTTGGGGATACAGATGTGGATCCTTGTGGAATTTACAGTCTGTCACATAAGGTGCCAAATATTAGGTCACTCAGTCCTCTTTGCAGTAAATATAGAAATCTTCCCCCTCAAAGAATAGAAAGAACTGAACAAAAATTAGTTACTCACATACTGATTTTTTACAACTATCTTTTTTTTTCTTTACACTCTTATGTCTGAGGTCCACAGGGAATTTCTCTACATTCCTAATGTTCAAATAGGTTTGTATTAAACAAGTTTTATTTTTTATTTAGTCTGCCAAACAACCTCTTCCTCTAAGAACTGCTCCTGCTTACACTAATGTGGCCACTGCAGTTGCTGTTGCTTTTCTTCCAAATGACTCTGCCATATGGAAGAATTGTTTTGATCAGTCATGGTCACTGGACCCTGGCATGTTCAGTCAATCAGGGTCTTTTACCTGGAACAGAAAGAAAAAAGCCAGTTTTCATAAAGTACCTGGGTTACAAGATGTAAAACTAGAATCTGATGGTGGCTGTTGCCCCATGGGTTCCTGAGAATTAGAAGAAGTCAGAATATGGAAAGAAAAAAAGAATGAAGGAGACAAACACGAAGGCAGAGAGAAAGGAGACAGAGAGCCGGTTTTATCCTCTGCTTCCTGAGGTCCACTCACTTTTGTCTTCGTAGGCCCTTTAACATTATTTTGTTCCATCTGCTTCCATAGCTGATATGCTTCTGTCACTCGAAACTTGTGGTACTTGTTAATGCTGTTCACCATGGAGTCCAGCTTCCTACCTGTTGGCCACATGAAAGGATTGCACATGCTGCTGTAGCCCCTTTTTGGTTGAGTGGCAGCATGTGACTGGCCCTAGACAACGTGTTGCAGTGAGTTACTAAGGTTGCAGGTGTCACTTCCAGAACAGAGCATTTTGTTGCCATCTCAAGGCCACCTAGAGCTCTCTCCCTCCACCATGCACAGGGACATCATTGGCAATGGTGGCTGCTCTCAGTCTGACTCCCAACAGGAGGAGATGATAGCAGACTCAAGAGAGGTGAGTAACATGAACAAGAACTAAACCCTTATTGCAATAAGCCACTGTGATTTTGAAGTAGTTTGCTAGTGTAGCATAAACTAACTTACTGTGATGGACATACAACCAAAACAGCTTTAACGAATAAAGCCAGCTAACAACTGAAATAAAGACATTAGTCTGAGGCCATTTGCAGCCCTATTTGAAAGCTTGAGACTGGCCTACGTGTCAGGATAAGATTGTGTGTTTCTGCCAATAACCATGAGGAACTCATGTTTGCAAAAATTTTGGCTTCATCTTAAATAAATAAAATCATACCTTTTAGAGAAAGAAATCATACCTTCTAAATGTGGTTTAAACATTTTTTAAATTTGGCTCCAGTTTGTCATAACAATGAGACAACGAAGTCTGCAAGAATAGATGAAATTGAATAGCTTAGCCAGCAAATCTCTGTGTCAGGGAAAGAAGATCTGTGGATGTGGCATTGTGATGTAATAAAAAACAAATATTTGGTCTTTGTTCCTGGTTCCTGACATAGAGCTCCTAAAACCCTTCCGGAGTGATGAGTATCTTCCACATGCTAATGAGTCGACTATAGCTGGGGCCCCTAGGTAGCGTCGTGATGGGAGCTGGTGGCCAGAAACACCGAGGTGTGATTAGAGGGTTGGAACTTTTAGCCCCACTCCTGACCTGTGGAGAGGGAAGAGGAGCTACAGATTGAGTTAGTCACCAATAAGCAATGACTTAGTCAGTCTTGCTATGTGATGAAACCTCCATAGAAACCTCTAAACTACAGGGTTCAGTGACTTCTGGGTTGGTGAATACACTGAGGTACTGGGAAGGTGCTGTGCCCCAAAGGGCGCAGAAGCTCCATGTCCCACCCCCACACCTTGCCCTATGCATCTCTTCCATTTGGATGTTGCTCCGTTGTATCCTTTCTAACAAACAGGTAATAGTGTCAGAAATGTTGTGGGTAGCAGCAGCTCAGATGACCACAAGCCCTCAGACCTTAGCAATTTCCCCACATCCTGGCTACTGGCTCTGAATTCCCAGGATGCATTATGAGTGGAATCCCGCTTATAATATAAAGGTGCCCACATGCGCACCTTTTCTTTGGTAGGAAGAAAAGAAATACAGATGAGGTGTGACATTGTGGGCACACCAATAATTAGAAGCAGGGAAGATTGGAAGGAATGTGCACACACACACACATACACACACACGGAAGAAGCCATGCAGATAAACTATGCAGACACACATTTTATTATTTGTGAGAATCTATCAAAACTTCTGGGACCTCAGATTCACAAAATCCATAGACTTATGTAATACTGGAGGTATTGGCTTGGACAAAAAAAAAAAAAAATAGAAGCCTAGAGAAGAGAGGATGGCAGTTTGAACTAGGGTGATACCAGGGAAGTTGGTGCTAGAGTTCTGGCTATAATTTGAAGATAGATCCACAGGACTTGCTAATGGGTTGCATGCAAATTGTTAGAGAAAGAAGAGTTTAAATAAATTCAGGGATTTTGGCCTGAGCAACTGAGTGGAGGTGGCACATCTTAATTCACACAGCTCATCTGTGACATAGTCAGAGACAGTAGGATAGAACCCATGTCTCTTGACTGCCATGTTTGTAGTCTTGCTGCTTCAGCCTGGAGGGAATAGAAAGGGAACTAATAGCAGTGTTTATGTATCAGAAACTTTTTGTACATATTTTCACGAGATTTCTTATGTTTATTTTTATCTGCATAGCATTTTCTAGATAATGATGGCATGATTTCATTCTATTTTCTTTCTTTTTTTTTTTTTTTTTTTTTTTTTTTTTTTTTTTTTTTTTTTTGAGATGGAGTTTCATTCTTGTTGCCCAGGCTGGAGTGCAATGGCATGATCTCAGCTCACCACAGCCTTCGCCTCCCAGGTTCAAGCAATTCTCCTGCCTCAGCCTCCTGAGTAGCTGGGATTACAGGCATGTGCCACCACGCCCGGCTAATTTTTTTGTATTTTTAGTAGAAATGGGGTTTCACCATGTTGGCAGGCTGTTCTCAAACTCCCGACCTCAGGTGATCTGCCCGCCTTGGCCTCCCAAAGTGCTGGGATTACAGGTGTGAGCCACCACGCCCAGCCTATTTTAATTTCTAATATGTGTCCCCAGCTACAAATTACTCCTAGGCTTATTTCTATAACAGAACTTACACAGGTATCAGAATAGTCTGTGGCTATTATGCTATCAATGATAGCATCTGCTGACAAGATTTTGTGCCACTCCTGAGACCTATGTGGCTTGAAACAGGGAAGTAAAGGATAAAAAGGTGCCAAGAAAGCAGAGCTCTAATGTCAAAGACTAAATCAGAGGGGTGACAAGGCAGGGACAAGGGGAAGGAAGACAACAGGGTGTTATTCATAGCCAGGTTTGGTATGACTCATGTCCCTGCCTCAGATTCTAGTCATTAGCTTCTAGGAAAGGATAATCAGTAAGAATTATATGAGACATATCTCTGCCAATTGATGCTTTTCCATCTCAAAGTTTCATAGCATTTAGTGGAAATTCAAGGCTTTTGATCTGAGCAACTGAAAGAAGAAAGTTGCCATTTAGTCTTCGGGGGAGAATGTAGAAAAAGCAGATTTTGGAGGGAAAAACTAGTAGTTTAATTTTGAATATATTACATTTAAGATGCACATGAAGTTGTATTAATGGCCAAAACTGGAATTACTTTCACACGAACCTGATATATTAGAGAGTAAAATGAAGGAGGGAATTGGATATAGAAATCTGGAGTTCAAGAACAAATACGGGTTCAAAACAGAGATCAAAGAGTCATCCATATAAAAGTGCGATTTCAAGCCAGGAAGCTGGATGAGATCACCGAGGGAGTGGACATAAATAGAAAAGAGGTGTGACACTGGGGGCACACCATAATTAGAAGCAGGGAATATTGAGATGTACACACACACACACACACACACACACACACACACGGAAGAAGCCATGCAGATAAGAGGAGAATTAGTAGAGAGTGATGTTTCAGGAGCCAGGTGAAAAGAGTGTTTAAGGAAGGGGTATGTGGTCAACTATATCATATGGCCAAACAGATAAAATAATATGAGGACTATGAATTGACCATTGGGTTTGGCAACATGAAGATCATTGTTGGCCTTGACAAAAGATGTTTCAGCAAACTACTCCAAATGAAAGAAAGCTTAATTAGAGTGTGTTTAAGAAAAGAAAGAAACAAAGAAGAGTTTCCAGTTTCAGGTAGAAGAACATGAAAGACCTTTGTTCCCATGGTAACAAAAAGAAAAACATGAAAAAATAATAATCATATTTTCCTATGGGCCTAGCAAAGAGCTTTTGAGACAAGAAAGCCTTGACGAATTGAATTCCAAAGAGAAGCTGACATTCAAAGAAAGTCAGAGAGCCTGGTGGCTTTCATACTTGGTCTGGACAAATAGAAGAGCAGTTCTATCACAAAGGGAGACGCTTGGCAGAGCAAGAAAAAGTCAGTCAAACCTTAGATTGCAGAGTAGGCTGGTGGGACAGATTGGAATATGGAGGAGACTAAAAATACAAAACAGAAACGCTGGGCGTGGTAGCACTCACCTGTGGTCCTGGCTACTGAGGCAAGAGGATCTCTTGAGCCCAGGTTTTCAACGTTACACTGAGCTATTTCTGTGCCACTGCATTCTAGCCTGGGCAACAGAGTGCTGCCTCACCTCTAAAAATAAAATAATAATCCTTAAAGAAAAAAAAAATAGTTGCCTAACTTTTCAATCCCTAGCTTCATTCCCCAATTGCACCATAAATTTTTCAGGGAAAGCATCAGTGCAGGAGGCCCTGCAGAGCAGAGAGGAGTCATGTGGTGCCGGGCATTCTCCTGCCATTTAGATTCCAGAACCTTGTTGGGGCCGAATCCAAAGGTGAATTAAAGATGTCTGAAGTTGTCGCTCAATCCTCTCAAAGCAACTCTAGGAGGAATCTTAAATGGCCAGCCTTCAACTTAAATCTCAGAAAGAAGAAAGGTCCAGAATTCACTAGGAAATAAACAAACAAAATGAAAAACAAAGAACTAGATGGTAGAGTTAAACCTCACCGTATCAGCAGAACATTAACTGTGAATAAACTAAATAATATAATTAAAAGGTAGCATTTGTTGGAATGGATTGAAGAAAAGTAAGTCCCAACTACATGCTGTTTACAGAAGATTCACTTTATATTTAAAAACACAGGCACCTAAAAATAAAAGGATGTGAAAAGATATATCTTAAAATATCTAATCATAAGAAAGTTGTTGGTTGTCATCATATTAATACCAGATAGGCAGTAATACCAGAGGCAAAGAAAGGTATTTCATAATAATGAAAATGTCAATTTATCAGGAGACATAATAATATGAAATATGTCCCTGAGAACAGAGCTTCAAATTACAGGCCAAAATTGACATAACTGAAAATAGACAAAACCAGAATTACAGTGGGAGATTTTAACATTTATCTCTCAAAATAAGCAGGAAAAAGGAGGAGATAAACATGGGAACAACAAAATGACAACAAAAAACCAGCAAAGATATAGCAGATTTGAACACTACCACTGACAAATGTTAACCAATTGATATTTATAAAATATATGCAACAGCAGCAGAATACACTTCATTTTCAAGTGCACATGGAATGTTCACCAATTGAGACCATATTCTGGATATTAAAACAGATGTCAGTAAATTTCAAATGACTGAAATCTTTGAAAGTATGTACTCAGGCTGGGCACGGTAGTTCACGCCTGTAATCCCAGCACTTTGGGAGGCCGAGGCAGGCAGATCACCTGAGATCAGGAGTTCGAGACCAGCCTGACCAAAATGGAGAAATCCTGTCTCTACTAAAAATACAAAATTTAGCCGGGTGTGGTGGCACTCGCCTGTAATCCCAGCTACTTGGGGGTCTGAGGCAGGAGAATTGCTTGAACCCGGGAGGTGGAGGCTGCAGTGAGCCAAGATCGTGCCATTGCACTCCAGCCTGGGCAAAAAGAGTGAAACTCCGTCTAAAAAAAAAAAAAAAAAAAGTTATGTACTCAGACCGAAAGAGAATTACATTAGAAACCAATAACCAAAAGACATCTGGGAAACCTTTAAATATCTGGAAATTAAGAACACACTTCTAAATTATTGATGGGTCAAAGAAGAAATAAGGGAATTAGGAACTTTTTTTTTTTTTTTTTTTGAGACAGAGTTTTGCTCTGTCACCCAGGCTAGAGTGCAGTGGTGCGACCTCGGCTCACTGCAAGCTCCGCCTCCCGGGTTCACGCCATTCTCTTGCCTCAGGCTCCCTCCCGAGTAGCTGGGACTACAGGCACCTGCCACCATGCCAGGCTAATTTTTGTATTTTCAGTAGAGACGGGGTTTCACCGTGTTAGCCAGGATGGTCTCGATCCTGACCTCGTGATCCGCCCGCTTCGGCCTTCCAAAGTGCTGGGATTACAGGCGTGAGCCACCGCGCCCGGCCAGAATTAGGAACTATTTTAAAATGAATGATAATAAAACTAAACATTAAATTTTGTGAGATGAAGCTAAAGCAGTTCTTAGAAACTTAGAACTATAAATGTTTATCTCAAGAAAGAAGAAGGATTCAAAATCAATGATCTAAGCTTTCATGTTAAGAAGCTAAAAAGAAACCACAAATTTAACTCCAAGTAGAAGGAAAGAAATAATGAAATATGAGTGGAAATCAGTGAAACAGAAAACAGATAAGCAACAGAGGAAAACAAGAAATGCTGGCAGTTGTTTCTTTGAAAAGATTAATGACTGATCAAGAAAAAGTATGTATGCATAAATATCAGGATAAATGATCAATATCAAGAATGAGAGGAGACATCACTATAGACCCCGTGAGCATTGCTCCCAGTCTTACAGCAAGAATACCTGGACAAACTACATAATCACATTTTTTGAGCCCATCAGAGAGCTGTGCTAACAGTAAAGTAGCCTGAAATCTCAGAACAAGGGAGTCCCCTGTCTTCTTGGAGACAAGGAGTGAGCTGGCTTATCTGTGTAGGAGGAAGAGCCAGGGGAACCATGCAACTGAATAAGAAGCTAACATTTTAAACAAATGGCTAAAGAGGAAGTGTGGGCTGGCATAAGAGTATGGAACCCTTGGAGTCACAGATGTAAAAAGAGTTCCCACCCATTCCCAGGTTTGTCTCCTCTGGTGCCCATGAAAAAGCTTGGAACAGAAGCTTCCTAAACAATCTAAACAGATTGTTTAGATGTTATCAAAACAATCCTCAAAGGGGTGAAAATAGTTGGAGGACTTTATCAGATTCCAAATTTACACTAAGACTAATCAAGAGTGTGTCACTGACATTAGGTTTGCCAAATAGATCCTTAGAACAAAATGAAGAATCCAAGAAAGACTGATTCTTTTTCTGGCAAAGCCAACAAAGCAATCCAGTGGTGAAAGGAAAATCTTTTTAATACATTGTGCTGGAATAATTGTCTATGCATATGAGGGAAAAACGAACCTTGACCCCTACCTCATATTACATACAATCCCTCTCATTTTTAGCTGGATTATAGACCCGAATATGAAAGCTAAAACTACATAGCCTCTAGAAAAAAAAAAAACCAGAATATCTTTACAATACATGGGAAAGTAAATATTTCTAAGCGATAAAAATCACTAACTATAGAAGAAAAATGTTTGATAAATTGCTGTATATTAAAATGTAAAACGTATGCTCATCAAAAGGCACCATTAAGCAAATAAGTACTGAAACTAGAGTCAGGGAGAAATACTTGCAAGACATATCTGGCAAAGGACTTAAATTCAGGGTGTGTGTGTGTGTGTGTAAAAGAATCTCTTATATGATATTCTAACATGTTCCCCAGGATTCCAGCCCCCAGGTGTATATGCCCTTCTATGGGCATATATGAGTGTGGTAGACCCAAGGGGAGGAAATTATACATGTGAATAT
Organism: Homo sapiens; assembly: GCF_000001405.40. Taxonomy (NCBI): domain Eukaryota; kingdom Metazoa; phylum Chordata; class Mammalia; order Primates; family Hominidae; genus Homo; species Homo sapiens. The sequence goes on from NC_000001.11 coordinate 242,561,043, forward strand.
GATGCATGCCACTCCTGTGGTTATGTTACAGTACATGGCAAAATGAAAGGATTTTGCAGATTTAATTAAAGCCAAAAATCAGCTGACTTTAATCAAAAGGAAGATTGCCTTGAGTGGTAAGCTTCTTAAAAGAGATTCAAAACAGGAGAGATCCTCTCTCTCCTCCTGGCCTTGAAGATGCAAGCTGTCATGTCATAACTATCTGTACAGAGGGCTGGCCTCTGGGAGCTGAGGTTCTCAGTCCTACAACCACAAGGAACTGAATTCTGCCAGCAGCCTGAATGAACTTGGAAGAGGACACTGAGCTCCAGATACAAAACCAGTCCCTGCCATCACCTTGATTGCAGCCTTGTGGCACTCTGAGCCGAGAACCCAGCTCAGCCATCATGCTCAGGCTCCAGATGCACAGAAACTATGAGATAATAAATGCACCTTGTGGGCCAGGCACAGTGGCTCATGCCTGTAACCCCAGCACTCTGGGAGGCAGAGGTAGGCGGATCACTTGAGGCCAGGAGTTCAAGGCCATCCTGGCCAACATGGTGAAACCCCATTTCTATGAAAAATACAAAAATTAGTCGGGCGTGGTGGCATGTGCCTGTAGTTCTAGCTACTTGGGAGTCTGGGGCAGGAGAATCACATGAACCTTGGAGGTGGAGGTTGCAGTGAGCTGAGATCATGCTACTGTACTCCAGCCTTGGGCGACAGAGTGAGACTGTCTCAAAAAAATAAAAATTAATGCACCTTGTTTAAACTGCTAAGACCTTGGTAATGTGTCATACATCAATGGAAACCTAATATAACTTATAATTCAATAAGACAAACAACTTGATATTTTTTAATCAGCAAAAGATTTAAAGATATTTCACAAAGGAAACATACAAATGGCCAGTAAGCCCATGAGAAGATGCTCAATATCTTTAGACATCAGGTATATGCAGATTGATACAATAATTAGATATTATTTCATGCCCACACAACACAAAATTTGTTAAAAAACAAACAAAGGATATTAATTGCGAATGTATGTATTTCTGATGGGCATGTAAAATGGTATGACCACTTTGGAAAATGAGTTGGCAGTTTCCTTTTAATTTTTTTTATCTTCTAAAATAGAGATGGGGGTCTCGCTATGTTGACCAGGCTTCTCCTGAACCCTGGCCTCAAACAGTCCTCCCACCTCTGCCTCCCAAAGTGCTGGGATTACAGGTGTGAGCCACCACACCCAGCTGGCAGTTTCTGATAGAGTTAAACATACCTCTGATTAGACAATTCCACTCCTAAATATATTTATCGTGGAGAAATGAAAAACATATATGTCCACAAAAAGATCTATACACAAATGTTCATAGAAGCTTTATTCACAACAGTGAAAAACTGGAAAGAAACCAAAATGTCCATCAATAGCAGAATGGATTTTAATAATCATTAATGAGAAAATACTTGGCAATAAAACTGTTACATACTACGGATGCATGAGCAATGTGGATGAATCTCAAACACACTGTGTTGGACAAAGAAGCCAGACACAACAGAACCCATACTGTGTAATTTCTCATGTATAAAATTCAATAATAGGTGGAACAAATCTACGATGATGGAAATCAGAACCTCAATTGCCTCTAGTGGAGAAGAAATTAAATGGAGAGGAACATAAGAAAATTTTTGGAGGATGATGAAAATGTTCTGTATACTGCCTGGACTATATTGCTAGATACATTAGACAAAACATTTGTCTTTATGTTAAATGCCTTTTAAAAATATTTAAGAAGGAAGCATTAGGCAATAAGGAATTAGAGTCAATGAGTATCAATTGTTGAAGTGTCATGGAGAAAGAAAGTGAGGAAGCAGCTAGAACATGACAGGGGGCCTAGTGAGGATTGTTTAAAGCTTCCATATGTAGCAGCGTATTTGTATGCTGATACAGTGCCCAGGTACAGAGGAGAAAATCAATGGTGCAGAAGAAAGAGAGAAGATTAGTTGGAATGACGTACTTGAAAAGGTGAGAAAGAAGGGATCTAGCGCCCAGATGGAAGGGCTGGTTTTAGACAGAAACACAATTCACCCAAAGTAACAGGAGAGGAGGCAGGGATTATAGTACAGATGCTGGCTTGACATGAGAGACAGTGAGTGGGGCCTGGGGTGCTGGTTTTGGAGTCCATCGTCCATCGTTCCTACAATCAACACTTACTAGATGGAAAAAATAACTCCTGCTTTCTTCACAAGATTGTACTGAGGATTTAATGAGACTAAATGTATGAAACGAGGGAGCCTAAAAAATAAATCTTGCCACAAACACCGTAATTAATATAAAGAGTTGGTGATTGTTAATATTGAGTGTCAACTTGATTAGATTGAGGGATGCAAAGTCTTATTCCTGGGTGTGTCTGTGAGAGTGTTGCCAAAGATTAACATTTGAGTCAGTGAACTGGGAGAGGTAGGCCCACCCTCAATCTGGATGAGCACCATCTAATCAGCTGCAGTGCATCTAGAATACAGCAGGCAGAGGAACACGGAAGGACTAGGCTGGCTGAGTCTTCTGGCCTCCATCTTTCTACCATGCTGGATGCTTCCTGCCCTCAAACATCAGAGTCCAAGTTCTTCAGCTTTTGGACTCTTGGACTTACACCAGTGGTTTACCAGGGACTCTCAGGCCTTTGGCCACAGACTGAAGGTGCACTGTCAGCTTCCCTACTTTTGAAGTTCTGGGACTCAGACTGGCTCCTCAGCTTGCAGATGGCCAATTGTGGGACTTCACCTTGTGATCATGTGAGTCAACACTCCTTAATAAACTCCCTTTCATGTATACATCTATCCTGTTAGTTCTGTCCCTCTAGAGAACCTGGACTAATACAGAGACTTCCCCTGGAGTGGATTGGACTGGCTTATGAAGTTATGGGCTCTGCATCTTGACCTGTTTATGGACAGGGGATCCCTCTGGTGTGCCAGAGGTTGGAATAGGCAACCTCTAAGATTCCTCGTGGCACAAAGTGAACAAGAGCAAGGCCCAAATGGTAAAAGACTGAGAAGGTTGTGGGGCCACTATCCTTCCTGTGAGGCATCAATTCAGGTAGTCCTGTATGTTAAGATTTCAGAGTGTGTGTAGTCATGGAATGAGCCAGGCTTTGGAGTCACTCATTCAGGGTTAGAATCATGGTTCTGTCATTTACAACACGTGTGACTTTGAAGGAAATTTTGTTTCCTCAATAATAGCATAAATAAATAACATATGTGCATATATAAATGAATATATAAGATAAATAGACCTCCTAGCATTGTAGTAGGGTTTAGATGGTGTAATGTTTACCAAACCTCTAGATTACAGTATGCTCATGGAGATGTCAGCCCAGTTCCTTTCAGTGGCTATGATGGCAAGTTAATTTTTCTAAAAGGAGAGGATGTGGTAGCACCTGAGGGAAGAGGAGCTGATATTGAGGCAAAGGAAAGATTAGCAACTCTCAACACTCCCTTTTCACTCAGATTCAGTTCCTTGTGATAAACTGTACAAACACAGCTGATTGTTCAGCAAAATTTCAACACTAATGGACAAATAATCATGAGCATTTATAATCTCCATCCTCAGATGATCTTCCCCATCCACAGCCACACACATCCAGAAATTGAACTCCACTGAAGCTGTTGAAAGACATAGCTTAAAACTAACTTGTCAAAAATGTGCTCCTCTACCTGAGGAGGAAACAAATTCTGAATATGACCTTGGTTATAAATATCTTGCAACAATTTTTATTTCTAAAAAGCAGCTATATAAATATGTGTCTGAAAATAAGTTTAACCTTCCTGGGTAAGGAAAAAAGAGAGAAGGAAAATTAACCAACATACAAATTTAAGTAGATATATTAAGTGTGAGTTGAGGAAAGTGTAGGTAAATAGGAGAAATGTATTATCTATAATTCTGTTACTAAGCCAGGTTCCTATTGGCTGTAGCACTGCACTTAGCCAGGGGTCTGCACATATTTCCTGCAAAGGGCCAGATAGTAAATATTTTAGGTTTTGTGAAAATAAAACCCGGGGTACAACTGCTCAACTGTGCTTTGTACCATGAAAGCAGCTATAGATAATACAGAAGGAATGGGTAGGACTATGTTCCAATAAAACTTGATTTACAAAGACAAGTGGCAAGCCATTGTTTGCCAACCCATGGTCTAAGCTTCATGGATAGATACCAAGGTCAAGAATTGTTTCTGCAATGTGAAACTCAGCAGATAGATGAAAAAGGTGAGGGAAAACAGCGTTTATTAAGAGCTGGTTATGTACCTGGAACTTTCATATCCACAATCTCCCCGAACTGACATAACTATTCTAAAAATGGTTATATATGACCTCTGACTTCCACCAATGAGGAAATCAGTCAAACCACTTCTTCAAAGCACTTTGATGTTAGTGGCAGTGGCTTTTAAATACGAATCACTTTCTAAAGCCTATGTTATTTCCATCAGTCTAAAATGGAGAAATCCACATGCACAATTTTTAAAAGTTAGAATGGTAACGATACAACAAAGAAAATAAAAAATGGGAATAACTCAAATCCCTAATGACAATGGTATTTATGATATTGGCTTGGAAAAAGAATCACAGGAAGCAGGGTTGCTCAGTTGGCTGGGCAACAGTTAACAAAGTAACCCACTAAAGAATACTGTATACAAATACCTCCCGGCAGAGCCACCATTGATTTGTGCCAATGGAAGGTAAGGATGGACAATTCTGGACAAGTCAATAGGTCCAGAGGCCCAGAAGATGGCCTGTGTTTCCACCTTCCCTCACAGACACCTCTGCTTAGTCAAGAACAACATATTCTTGTGTTCAAGATCCTGGTGCTTGCTTTCCACCTCCTGCTCCCTCTATGAAAAGAAGCCACTCTCCACTACCAGCCACGTTTAATTCATGTTTTCAGTGGCCACCAGCTACCTTTCATGACATCTTCCTCCTCTGAGACAACCCTGTGGAATTTAGGTGCCAGCTCTCTAAGTCACTGCCCCCAGCAGGATCAGAATTGACAAACTGATCAGTCAGTTACGAATTTGATTCATGCCCAAATTTCCTCTAAGGTCTATGTGGTACCTCAGCAGGTACCATTATTTTAAGTTATATTTGTCAAATTGTAGATCTTTACAACCACCTAACGAATATATGTCACTCTACTTAGAATGGTAAATTCACAATGCCAACTACCTTCAGACTTTCGAGGAAATGAATGGGAGGGTTAGGGAGAGGATGGATTAAAAACAAATCGCTCTTGACATCCTTGAGCCCAGTTTCTCCAGAGAAGCATAGGTTAAGGAATGGGAGCTGAACAGCCAGAGCTCTAGGATCTGGAGATGTCGGGGAGACAATGCAACATCTTCCAGAGCTTGAAATTGACACCTGATTTAGCCCAGCTCTAACAAAGGCCCCTCTCTCCGAGTTCATCCATGCAAAGTGAGGACCTGTACCAACATAAATCATCGCTTCCAGGCTTCACATTTTCTGATGCTGCCTAAGGAGAGGATGGGCCACAATCCTTGATGTTGCTTTGCCCCAGAACTCCCACTGGCATGTGGAAGATATTTTAGCATGCTGGCAGAGTGGTGCAGACAAGATGACACCTTCCTTTATTGCTTGTCCCTCAACTTCCCTTCATGCTTTGACACAAGGATGTCCTGGCTGGAACTTTCCTTCAGGTTTGGAGGTCTCAGCTAGGAAGTGGGGTTGGTACAAGAAGAACACAGCACAGGGCAGGGAACAACAAAAAATCCAGACACTGCACTTGGGGAAATTTCCTTAGACATCCCCATCCCCTCTGGGAATTTCTCTCTGGCTAGCCTTTCTCCTCAGTCCTTGACCAGGTGCTGGGCTGCTGGCCCCTCTCCCTCTTTTAACCCTCCTCATATTCCTCTCTCTTAGAGCATTACTGGATTTACCAGAGCCATTCTCAGTGGTCCTGAATCTGTCTGTAAGTATTTAGAGCCAGGCATCCATAACTGACCCCATATACATGAGCCTACCACCAACTCCTGTCCACTAAGTAAAGGTCAAAGCTGGAATAAAACTGTCAGTCATCACATACAATCCCCATAGTGTAATACGAAGTATAATTATGGTTAATGAAGGATTAGTCTAACCTCGAGTCACCTGCCCCTCATAAAAATGGAAGCCTAATGAGTTCAGACTTCAATTCATGATGAAGTACTCTTACATATGATAAATGGAATGTCTAGTAAGAGAAAATATCTATAATGAAGGGTGAGGGTGGAGAAATGTTCTCTAAAATAATTGGTTTGACCCCACTGTGGTTCCAAACAGTTGGGAATATACCCATAGACTTCATGGTAGGAAGCAATTTGTCAAGATTGAAGTTCACTACTTAGAATGATTAATGTATGACCCACTTAGAGGATGAAAATCTTCCTCCGGTTCTTGACTTTATTTGTACTTCTAATCAAGTGTCCCACATCAGGGAGTGTTACCAGGATTAGGCAATAAAGAGTTCTTAGTTCTATGATGTTCAGAGTAAGTGACCTTGATTTCTATATCTAAGAAAAAGAAATCTCTTTTTGGTACCAAATGTAATCTAGGTTTCCAGGACCTTAATTACCAGATTCAAACAACTGGTACACCCTCTACACTACCAACATTGTGGTGTCTGAGAGCATAACTCGGATTTTACCACAAGGAGTGATATTGTTCGTGAGCAGGAAGGCATAAGGATATTAAGGGCTCCAGGATAGTGATATATGCAAAGTTTTCCCAAGATTTATGGCACTCACTACATTCCACAAGACTAAGGATCACTTGTCTATAAATCTGGTGAAGAAATTTCCTTCTCTGTTGACAAATACATCCCTCGAGGAATGGGCCACAGGAAAGCAATGGTAGCACCCATCAATTGTCCTGCCAATCTTGGCATCTGGGGCCCCAGAAATAATTAATTCCACCTTGAGAGAACATAGCATAAATAAAGGCTAAACTTAATCAAAATGTGACTGGAGTTTCAATCAGGGCACACAGGGCTTGACAAGGGGGATGTAAATATTATTGTAAGTCACATCAAACCTGTCAGCAAATTAGATCAGAGTCCAGAGAAATGGACCTCTATCAGAGAAGCCGAAACTCAGGGAGGACCCCTGAGGTAGACAAAGCTCAGAATGGTCAGTCTACCCTCAACTTTGCCAAGACTTTTCAGTGAGAAAAAGTAAAAATCAAACTTTTGATTGTGTGGAACTAGTTTTTTTTACATTCTTTACAAATATGCTATAAACTTTCAAGAGATCTTTGAGGTCCCAAGCCCATCATACCCCAAGAGAGAAATAGTAGACATTATAAATCTATATAACAATATCCAATTTGAGAGCAGAGACTACAGTGTCTCATTCGCCCTTGAAGCTCAGTCACCCACCCACCATTCCTGCCCACCACACACACACACAGGACCTGCTTAATGCATGATTGTGAAATAAATGAACTGGTTCAAGGTCTTCATAAATCATGGAAAGTCTCCTCAAACATAGAACATTTTGTCAGGTTCTAAAGACGAGCTATCAGTTCATTAGAAAAGCGTACCACTGGAGCGGATGAAAAGTAACGAGTTTGAGAGTTAAATCTCCTGGTTAAAATAAGGATAAGCACAGCTAACAAATGTGGGGACACAGACACACTACAGTCTTAACAACCAGATTGTTTCCATTCTCAACATGAGACTGGGATGATTTTGCTACTTCTTTTCCTGCTCTTAGGTGTGGCGGCCAGGAAAAAGTACCTCACAGTCCCGCATTGACCAAGCTAGGGTTTGCTCTTTGAGATCTACCTGGAAGCCACGCCCCCATCGCTGCTCCCAGCCAATGGCTGCGTGCGCCAGGAACAGTTGCTCAGAAGAAGGAACAGGCTTCTCCGGAGACTGCCTTTGGTTTGACTACTTCCGGAAGCCTTTGCGGAACTTCCTTGCCACATTAGGCTACTTACTGACACCAACCCTTTCTGCATTCTCTTTCTTTCATTTGGGATCAGACTGCTATCACTGTTCAGACAATTCTCCCAACTTCTCTGTCTCCTTTTATCCTTCCCCACAGAAATTGCCCCTAATAAAATCCATGCATGTTTAATTCCATTTTGGCATCTGGACTCACATGTCAGGATGCAGAGATTTTTGGGATAGGGCAGCCAGCATAGCATATGAGCCTTTTTTTTTTTTTTAAGACGGATTTTCAATCTTGTTGAACAGGCTGGAGTGCAATGGCGTCATCTTGGTTCACTGCAATTTCCCCCTCCTGGGTTCAAGCTATTCTCCTGCCTCAGCCTCCCCAGAAGCTGGGATTACAGGCATGCACCACCATGCCTGGCTAATTTTGTATTTTTAGTACAGACGGGGTTTCTTCATGTTGGTCAGGCTGGTCTCAAACTCCCAACCTCAAATGATCTGCCAGCCTTGGCCTCCCAAAGTGCTGGGATTACAGGTGTGAGCCACCATGCCTGGATGGTCATGAGCCTTTACTCTGACTCAGATAAAATTAAGAGAGCACATACCCAGCCTTCCACACACCCTGCTATTCTTACAGAAATACCAGTTGCTCTTACATAAAGGAAGATTTACCTTTTAGGTAAAGGCAGTAACAACACAATAATTACAATATAATAATCTGTGTAAACATAAGGCAGAAATTAATAAAATGTCCTTAAAGGATAAGCTCTGAGCACTTTCCCAAGAGGGAAAACATTTTACATTTTAAAAGGTGATTGATAATTAGAAAGTAGTATTCGTTGCACTCTCTGTGTCACTATGCTAAATCATGAAATAACTCAAAACTATCTCACTTAATCTTCCCATCTCCTAAGACTTACTATTATCATTTCAGGGTGATAGATGAAGAGACTGAAATGCAGACAGGTCAAGTGATTTGCCCATGGTCATACCAGCCTGTAACTTTGGATTCAGGGATACTGACTTCAGAAGTTGTACTCTGAACTACTGCACTGTACAGACTCCTGTTTTGTGGTTATCTGTGTCAAGCCTGGTAAAGGAGCAAATGAATCACTCTCCAATTCCAATCTTGGCTTGCTCATTCAGTTCCAATTTCCTGACTGGCACTGGCCATTAATGGCTTAAGTTCTGCCTCTCATGACTTATTTGAATTGTTAAACCTGGAAATAACAAATTCCAGGGAGATTCTGCTTCCAGGAGTACAGATGATTCTCAAGCAGTGCCTTCCTGCTGCATAACAGCTAAGCGTGTTTGGGTGTGGAGAGAGGGCACTTTTTAATACATTTCTGGGCTTGGAGGATGTGAAGAAACACTCCAAGTGCCACCTCCCAAATAAAAACAAATCAGAGTGGTGCGGAGTGGACCTTCATTTACAACCTGAACAACTTTGGGATCAATTCATGAAAAAAAAATGGGTGTTACAGATGCTGATGTCTGGAGAAAGAACATTCAGCAGAAGATATTGCTAGGACAGAGGCCCTGAGGGGGAGCATGGCTTTGCCTGTCCATCCTGTATTCTCAACATAGCAGCTGGGAGCCTGTTAAAATATGCCTGTCTTCTCTGTTCACAATCCCCTAGGGACTGTGCATCTCATTCACAATTAAATCCAAAGTCCCTTCTGTGACCTATAAGACCAGACCTTATTTGCTCCCCACAGCCCTCTATTCCCCCACTCCACCTCCCGCCCTGTCTTCGTCTGCTTTGCGTTGCTATAAAGGAATACCAGAGGCTGGGTAATTTGTAAAGAAAAGAGGTTTACTTAGCTCACAGTTCTGCAGGCTTACAAAAAGCATGGCACCCCAGCATCTGCTCAGCTTCTGGTGAGGGCCTCAGGCTGCTTCCACTCATGGAGGAATCCAAGGGGAGCCAACTGTGCAGAGATCACATGGTGAGAGAGGAAGCAAGAAGGGAGAAGGGGAGTTGCCAGGCTCTTTTCAACAGCCAGCTCTCCTGAGAACTAATAGAGTGAGAACCCATTCACCCCAAGGGAGGGCATTAATCTATTCATGACAGATACACCCCCCATGACCCAAACACCTTCCACTAGGTGCCACCTCCCAACAATGCTACCCTGGAGAAGAACTTTCAGCATGAGATTTGGTGGGGGCAAAAAAACCCATATCCAAACCATAGCACCCTCTGTCATTAGCCATAGCTGCTCAGGAAAGCTTGTTCTCGTGTTCTTAGCTTGAGTGTTGGAGTGGATCCTGAAGGTGCTGCAGCTGGAGGCTGGAGGCTACAGGCTGATCACAATCCTCTTTGGCAGTTTCTCTGTTGCAGAGGCCTGAGAGGCCCACTCCTATGGCCGCCAGAATAAGCCAGACTGAATTAACCAAAACTCAGATTGACAGCCGATATTTTTCAATCTATTTTTTTCCAAGCAGCATCATAATACTGTCTTAATGAACTTTCATAAATTCAATTTGAGAAAGTTTTTTTAATTATAAAATATAAATTATTGAGTATTTTTCAGAAATTAATTTCCATCTTTCTCTCATATTCATATTAACTAGCCTCAGGGTAATATTATGTTGACTAATAGAGGTCATTAGGAAAACAAATTAAGGGGGAAATATAATCTTTTATATTTACCCACATGTTTATGAATTCCAGCACTCTTCATTTCTTCCAAAACACTTGAGTTTTTATTTGGAACCATTTCTATTAAATCTGAGGAATTTTAGCATTTCTTTAATCTTAAAATGTTTCATTTCACCTAGGTTTTTAAAAAAATGATAGACTTGAATTTTTAGAGCAGTTTTAGGGCTTAAAGAATAAATGAGCACAAAGTACAGGGGTTCCCATAAATTATCTTCCCTCTCCTTTGTTTTTCCTCTTATTAACATCTCACATTATTTCAGTATACTTATTACAGTTGATAAGCCAATATTGTTAGCTGAACTCCATGGTTTACATTGGGGTTCACTCTTGGGACTGTGCTTTCTATGGGTTTAGACAAATACACAATGTCACATATCCACCAGTAGTGCATGCAGAAGAGTCTCAGTGCCCTAAAAAAATTCACTGGGTTCTACATATTTTTTTCTCTCTCCATTCCCCTGAGTCCCTGGCAACTGCCGATCTTTTTAATATTCTGATAGCTTTGCTTTTTCCAGAATGTTATGCAGTTGGAATCATGCAGTGTCATGGTTAATTGTGTGTGTCAACTTGACTGGGCCACAGGGTGCCCAGATATTTGGTTGAACATTATTCTGGGTACATTTGAGAGTGTTTCTGGATGAGATTAGTGAGTAAAGCAGATTTTCCTCCCTGGGGATGGTGGGCCTCATCAATCTGTTGAAGGCCTGAATGGTGCAAAAGAGCTGAGTAAGAGAGAATTGGCTGATTCGAGGACAGTCTGGTTGACTGTCCTCAAGCTAGGACATCGTTCTTTTCTTGCCTTCAGATTCAGACTTGGACTTACATCATCAGCTTTGCTGGTTCTCAGGCCTTTGAACTTGGACTCAGGCTGGAACTATACCATTGGCTCTTCAGGGTCTCCAGCTTGCCAATGGCAGATCTTGAACTTCTCAGTCTCTATAATCATGTAAGCCAAATCTTTGTAATTAATCATTGTGCGCACGTGTGTGCACACACACACACACACAGCCTATTGGTTCTGCCTCTCTGTAGAACCTTAATATATAGACTATGGGATTTTTTTCAGACTGGCTTCTTTCACCTAGCAATATGCATTTAGGTTTCCTTCATGTCTGTTGGTGATTCTATAGGTCATTTATTTGTGTCATTAAATAATATTCTATTGTATGGATGTGTGACCATTTATTCATTCACTTGTTGAACGATCTCTTAGTTGCTCCCATGTTTTGGCAATTATGAATAGAGCTGTTACAAATATTTGTGTGCAGGTATTTGTGTAGATATAAGTTTGCACTTCATTTGTATAAATACCAAAGGGCATGATTGCTGAATCATATGATGAAAGTATGTTTAGATTTGTCAGAAACCACCAAACTGTCTTCCAAAGTTACTACATCATTTTGCATTTCCACCAGCAATGATCACAATTTTTGAAAGATATTTTTTGGCTATCGAATTCTGGGTTGACAGTCTTTTTTCTTTGGCCCTAAAGATGTCATTCTTCTGTCTTCTGCCTCCATTGTTTCTGATCACACGTCAGCAGTCATTCACACTGTTGTTCCTTGGGCTCATTTCAAGACTTTCTCTATATCTTTATTTTTCAGCAGCTTGACCACCATGCACCTAGTTGTGGGTTTCTTTTTATTTAACCTGCTTAAATTTCTCCTGCAATTTAATAACTAGATAAGAATGTTTTAAAATCATCAAGTCATTTTTTTTTGGTACGTGAGTTTATATAAAGCATCTAGAACCATGCTTGTTATATAGTACCAGCTATTAGTATTAAAGACATGTTTTCAAATTACCTGTGAAAAATATGCAAAAATAGTCACTTCATTTACATATTTTATACTATTATTAGATAACAGTTTTTACTGTATTATATATCTATATAATTACTACATAGATAACATGTTTATTATATATTAGCTGTATTATAATTAAATGTTGTATATATTATATTATTATAATTATTATAAAGTTGATCCTTGAGCAATTCAGTGGTTGGGGCACTGACTCCGTATGCAATAGAAAATACGCATATCACTTTTGACTTCTTCAAAAACATAACTACTGATAGCCTACTGTTGATCAGAAGCCTTACTGATAACATAAACAGTCAATTAACCCATAGTTTGTATGTTAGATGTATACTCTTACTATACTGTACTCTTACTATAAAGTAAGCTACGGAAAAAAAATTAAGAAAGTTATGAGAAAGATAAAATATAATTACTATTTATTAAGCGGGAATGGATCATCAAAAGGTCTTCATTCTCATCGTCCTCACATTGAGTAGGCTGGGGAGGAGAAAAAGGGGGTTAGTCTTGCTATCTCAGAGGAGGCAGAGAGGGAAGAAAATCCTCATCTCGGTGGACTCATGCATCGTTCCTCCTAATAAAGCTAAGGTAAACTATATGTAAGCATTACCTATAATTATTCTGAATTCCAAATTAAATGAATCCAAACTAACATGGATTTTTCTGTACACGAGTTCTCCAAAGAGAAATGCAAATATTACAGTTTAGCAAAGACTTTAAACTAACAACCTTGAAAGAGGAGACAAGTGGAAAAGGGTTAAAGGCAAAATTGTTTCTGCCCCAGGAGGAATCTGCTCACACTCTTTGAAGCAGAAAATACAGTGACTTTGCTGTGAGTTGTAAAACACTTTAAAGTTAGGTCATGAGAAGCACTGTGAAGAAAAAGTGTGTTTGTTTTGTTTCTTAGAGATGTGGTTTTCCTGGTGGCTTCTCCTAGAACAGTATTCTTTTCTCCAAAATAATGGTTTATTCCAAAAGAATAATAAATAATCTATATGTGGTACAAAGAATTCTTAACACACATTATCTTATTTAATCCTCACAAATGTCAACAGGATTACCATCTCTGTTTTATTTGTAGACTCAGGAAGACTAAGTAAATTTTCTAAGTTCAGCACACCCAGTTAAGAGCAGACCCAGACATTGAAACTGTATCTTTCAATGTGAAGTCAAAATACTTCCACACTCCACCATATTGCCATTGCAAATAGCAACTAATAAATAGCTCCCTGCATCATGAAGTGAACCCACAGTAACTAAAACACAGTCATGGGAATTTACTGGGTTGAGCTTTTGCCAAAGCCTGAAGCACCACAAGGAATTCTAGAGACATAGCAGAGAGTTACAGGTTTAGAGAAAACAGCAGGAGCACCTAACAGGAGAGAAAGCACAGTTTTGCAGACCCACAGCAAGAAGAAAGTGGCCAGGAGAGAATGTAATGTGGACCACAGAATGCAGAAAGAGTGGAGAGGAGAAATTTCAGGAGAAATGACACTCCAGGGGCTGAAGAGTGATGCAAAAGATAAAAGAATAATCACACAATAGCTAATGGTATGACAACATCAACAAATAAACATTTAGCCTGCATCTATAATACGCACTTCATATGTGTTACCTCCCAATACACTATGAAGTCAGTATCGACATTGACCCTATGTCCAGAACAGAAAACTAGACACGGAGGGATCATTCTTCCTAATAAAGCTAAGGTAAACTATATATTTTTTGGCTATCGAATTCTGGGTTGACAATCTTTTTTCTTTGGCCCTAAAGATGTCATTCTTCTGACTTCTGCCTCCATTGTTTCTGATCACAGGTCAGCAGTCATTCACATTGTTGTTCCTTGGGCTCATTTCAAGACATTCTCTAGCTTGTAATCACACAGATCACACAGCTTGTAAGAGATGATGCAGTATTTAGAGCAGGTCTGGCTGAGTCCAGAATCCACTCTTCCAGCGACTCTGAGAACTTGGAATAGTGTGTAACAGCATCCTGGGAGTAGGATAGCTGGGCATGGAGCAAATCACAGAGCAAGGCTGTACATTCATGACTGGGAACAAGAAGAAAGCAAATGAGACCAAAGAGGCAGGAGAGCAAGAAACCAGGGACACATAAACAGCATTGATAAGCTGATCTCTTCATTCCTGACAAAAGCTATTAGCAGAAGCAGATGTTAAAAAAAAAGAAAAAGTAATTTCAAGTCTGGAATGACTGAAACATCTTCAGTAGAGATATTGCTAACTTTGCCCAGAGTATGACTCTCTCCAATAATATCATTTTAATTTAGATTTGCAGTGAAACAATCCTATCAGATATTATCGAAAGCAGTAATGGTATTTAGCAGTTGTACATTCCTTTTACAGTTTTCAAAGAGGCTTCGCACACATAATACATTTGGTTCTCAGAAATTCTGTGATGATGTTATTGATGCTTCAAGTTTTTTGATAAGTAAATAATAATCATCCTAATTAGGCATAAGAGTGTGGGGGAAAGAGGCATTAGACTGACTGAGATTCACATCATGGGCAGAGCCTGACATTATTAGTTTATGACATTGGGTGAGTTAATACATTTTCTGAACCTCAATTTCCTATGTGCAAAGTAGGGATTATAATTTCTAGCTTGGAATGTTTTCGGTTGAAGTCAAGTAAAATCACAAGAATATATATATATAGTACCCAACCATGTCTGAAAAAAATGGCCATTCAATAAGTAGCAGATCATGTTTTAGTCAGGATTCTCAACTTCAAGTGATGAAATTCTGACCAAAACTATTTATTTAATATCTTAGAGATACAAATGGATATCAAATAACCAAACTGTAAGAACAGCAGGGATACAGTTGAGCCTTAAGAACTATAAGCAGCAATATGAAAATAGCCAAGATGCCTCTATTTCTTTTCTCCCAGTTTTTCTCTGGATATCATTTTCATTCTTTTTTTATTACAAAATGTATTGCTTCACATAGTGGCAAATAAGGCATCTAATGGCTACCAAGTTCTATACCTCTGCCACTGAGTAGGACTAGAATTTAGTTCTCTAGGGTCCTGATCTGGAGTCAAGTCCTCCACTCCCACCCACACATCAGTAGCCAGAGGGCAGACAGGATGGGAAAACATGGCAGCTCCACATAACCACATGGATGGAGGGTGGCAGTATGAGGGTACAAGTGCCCTGGAGAAAGTGGTGGTAGGAATGTGATCTCATATACATCCACTAAATAATTGCAGCGTCCCAAGGTCATAAACCTAGTGCTAGAGGTGGAACTTAAATTCAGATCTGACTCCAAGTCAACTTTCTCTACTACATCAGTGCTAAAAATCTGTTGTAAGCTACCAGTCATCTGGCCACTGGATGAGATGCAGACAGGAACAGCCTCCCTCAGTGTGGCTCCCTGGATGCCCCACTTCCTGACGAGAAGGAGGAAGTAGAGTTGCCTGACTGATGATTGCAGAGGCTCTAAGTTGCATTAAAACAGTGACATCCAGAGTCATTGTTAAGACAAGCATCTTCTGGGATCTAGTCTGCTGTAATAGCCTAATCAAGTCATGGCTTAGGAGGCAGTGTGCAGAGGGGGACAGAAGGCTGGGGGCATTGATGGCTCAAGAACAGGTACCAAGTGCTCATCCCACTGAGTGGTGCTGTTCTGCTCCAAGACCCATGTTCTCTATTAGGTACTGCTATGGTTTGAATGTCTTCTTTAAAAGTTCATGTGAAACTTGGTTCCCACTCTAACAGTGTGGAGAGGTGGGGCCATTGGGGGGTGATTGTGTCATACAGGCTCCACCCTCATGGACGGATTGTGGGAGTAGCTTTGTTGTTGTAAAAGTGAGCTCTCTCTCGCATGCACTAATTTCCCCTTCCACCCATCCTCCATGAGAAGACTCTTGACACATGCTGGTGCCATTGCTCTTGGATTTCCCAGCCTCCAGAACTGTGAGTCAAATAAACTTCTTTTCTTTATAAATTACCCAGTCTGTGGTATTCTGCTATAGCTACAGAAAATGGACTAAGACAGGTGATATCTTAATGTTTCCCTTTCTCCTTCAGGGTTGAAACACTGATATATTTTAGGGTCAGGACTCCTTTTCATAATTGCTGCTGTCTTTGAAATTTTTGATGAAACTCACAAAAAGGCAAGAACCAATTTGGCTTGCCATAATTTTGGAGGTTTTATATTTGGGCAACCAAAGAACCATGACTGGGATAAGCAAAACTGGGCCCTAAATTTGTCTCAAAGGTTTAACCCAAGCTTTTGGCCAAGGACCCCAAACTTACTATTCCACAATCCTATTTGGATCCCATTCTCAACACACTGTAGTAAAACCCATATACCTGAGAGGGAATGAAGGGAGAATTAAGAGGAGAGATGACTTGTTGCTGCAACCCTCAATCTTTGTTTTAGGAAATGTTAGAATGCCAGATTCATGGTCTTTGGGCTGCTATAACAGAATACCACAGACTGGATGGCTTAAACAAAAACCATTTATTTCTCATAATTCTAGGGGCTGGGAAGTCCAAGATCAAAGCTCCAACATATCTGGTGTCTGGTGAGAGCCCTCATCCTGGTTTGAAAATGGCCATCTTTTTCTCATATCCTTACATGGTGGAAAGGAGAGAGAGTAAGCAAGCTCTCATGTCTCCTCTTATAAGGGGAATTAATCCCACCTTGAAGGCTCCAACTTCATGTCCTAATTACCTTCCAAAGACCCCACCTTTTAATACCATCACACTGGGAGTTAAAATATTAATATATGAATTTGAGGTGGACAGAAACATTTAGTCCATAACACCGGGCTCCTGGTAGCTCTGCCCATAAACTAAAGGATTCAGGTTTAATTCAGCCATCTGGTCCAGCAATACAAAGTGCAAATAATACTATTTATCAACCACAGAGAGGGAAGAGCATGCTGAGGAGTTATATTCAGGCTGTTTCTGAGTAACTCATAATAGATAAGAATTCATAATTCAGAGAGTTGTAACACTGCTAAATCTCACAACATCTTTAACTCCACATCTTTAGAGCCTTATGAAGAGCCCAGAATGGTGCCTCATTCCAACATAACAGATTAAACTAATTTTACCTGGATACAAACGTTGCGGTGAAATCTCATCATGCTTTGTACTTAACCTCATACTCTTCTGGGAGATACTAAAACAATCATTAAATAAAAGCTCAAGTTTGTAGTAATATTTCAGTTTTAAAAAGTATAAGTGTCACAATGGGCCTTAAATGACCAAATGAAATCTTTATATTTTGCCAAGAGTTCAATAAATGACGTCTCTACTGCATGAAAACAGTGGTGGTAGGTATTTGATGCTAAGTTGATTGCTTGATGTATGAATATGCATAGATTAAGGATGCTTTCTCTTGAAGTTGGGTACATGGAGTGTATATCATGAGCTACAATGGCACAGCTTTTTGAACAATCTTAATTTGACTTAAGATATATGATACCAATTAGCTAGACTATTAAATTCATCTTTACATCATATTTTGGAATTTCGAAGTTCATATGTTTTGTGTGCTCAAAGGGAAGAGAAGTAGAACTTTAACAACATAAGTTTCATTGAGATAACTGACTGATCTTGAATATTAACTCTTGATTTGTATTAGCATTGTGATTTTTCACTTTTGGAATTTACTGAATTTCCCTATTAGACATTGGCCATTCCTGTGGCACTGTGCATTGGGCACATGATGCCACGGGAATGCCTAGTTCTGTGCACAGTTCTTCCCTAAGAAGCTACGTGCTGCAAAGCGTATCCTGTGATGCAATGCAGGCATTCTGCCTTATCATCCACATCATACATCCCCATAACCTGAATTTCTAAAAGAAACAAGCAAACAAGTTGGTGCCCTGGCCTTGTTCTGCCAGGAAACACAAGTAAACATTTCTACTGAAAATACTGTTCTGTGGTCTTTGACTATTTCAGAGCCTTTTGGAAACAGTTGGAAACTGTGAGAGAAATTGAGCTGGGGCTGTAGCTCCACATTTGGGCACATTCAATGCCCATAAAAAGTCACATCTGTGGTGTATTGTGCCCACAGCATACACCATGGGCTCCTAAAGGAAGTCAACTCTGCTTTACATTCCTGGCTCTAACCTTTCGGTAATGTGAGTTTGAGCAAAAGTCTCTTGCTTGTATACAGGGAACAGGTATTGCTGTGGGTTCTATGGAATCCACTTCACAGACTTTGTCTGAGAATTAAATAAAGTACAATGTACCTGAAGTGCTGGAACAGGCTAGACATAGTGAGTCCTTGATAAAAGGTGAGCATTCCTGTCCTTTAAGAGAAGTCAAGGACTGGCTGGCTTGTGGTTTTGGTCATGGCTAATAATCAACTGAAGAGATACTCTTTGAGAACCTACTGTGTACAAGCTTTGTGCCTCATGTTTCTCTCCTGAATCCTGCCCAAGGGGAAAAAATAGACATTAAAAGGACTCTCCACATCTCAGGAAGCCACGTGGAGAATGTAAGACAACCAGTGTCTTGTTAAGTAGTGAAATATGTTTTTCCTTGTTTAGAAAGCCTGGGAGTGAATTCTACCTGGGTGGTTTCTTATTGTGTTCAGGGGACCATTTTCTTCAAGGAAGTGTGTTGATGAATCAGCATTTGCCAATTCCCTTTATGCTCAGCTCTTGGGAATTCAAGAAACAGATTTCTTCTGGGAAATCTCCAGTGTAATGCTCAGAATTCCTTAAACAAACAAATAGTGGCTGGGAGAGTAGTGTCTTATTTATTTATTCATTTAATCTATCTCATCCTTGAAAATAAGTACAAAAATTTATCAGCCTATATTTCACTTACCTGTTTCAGTCAATTTACCCTTTGGTCCCAGGAGTTTCCAAGAATCAAAGTATGCAGCACAAGCATCAATACATTTGGCATACATCACTACTCAACTTCAGCAAAGGAAAAATGTCCTTTGCAATAAGACAGCTGTATTCCTATTACATGTACTAAATATTCTTAAGAAAATTGGGAGACTATGTTTGCATGTGTCGGTTTCACTTTTGGTAGTGCATCTGTAGAACTGGCCCCTATAAATACAAAATAGAGTTTCCTAAAGAAAAAATGGCATTTAGAACAATACACATTATCTTGGTGTCGGTTATAATGAGAAACGTGTAAACGTCTTTACTCCAGTGAATTTCAGTAAATGAAAACTCATGCTTCCATCTGTACTATTCCACGACTCAGCTCAGAAAATAGAAGTCATTCGAAGTAGAAAGAGATTAAATATAGGGAGGAGGTCCTGACAACAGTGTTGGAAAGGCTGAAGGAGCTGATTCCATCTGGGCCTTCAGGGATCTTACAGAACAAGACACAACTGTTTCACTAGAGATGCTGCTACCTCAGTGGACACCCCTGGAGCCGTACTGGCAGCAAAAGGCTCCTGATGCCTCAGTTACTTCTCAACAACTAGGTAGATGGAGAACAGACACCTAAATCTAATCCACGGACCAGGGAGCTGGATCATGAAATTGTTGCTGCCTCCACAATTCCTTGACACCCAAGATACCAGAGAATTGACACAGGGATACCGCTACAGGGAAACTTTCCACTTTCTTGGCCTCACATACCATCAGAAAGGGCCAGTAATTGCAAAAGATGGCCCCACCTCAATCCTACCTTCTGCATCTCATGAACGCATCTAATTGTAAGACTAATTTGCATGTAAAGCCCTTGTTATAGGGGAGTCTGGAAAGTGAAATTTTTAGCTCTTTCTCTAACTAGTATGAGTGTGGTACGGAGGTAGATTGAGTTCATTCAGAATTTCCAGCACCCCATTTACTCCTGTAGCATGTGGCTCTTAGTTAGCTCTTCCCCCATTTCACTGTTCACCTATCTCTGCCATAGCACTAATATTCTGATGTGCTTATTTATGTCTTTCTAGAATTGCATGCACAGTCCTTGAAATAGTTACTTCTATTTCTAATACCTGGTACACAGCACAGACCAACCAAAGGTCTGTGAAATGTACAAATAAATGAATGCATTGTCTTCGCTAGTCTTAGGCTTCAAAGGCAGGGGCTGTGTCTTATCCACTTTGGTTTAACCAGATCCCAGCACGAGATCTGGCCTATATTGAAGAAGAAAGTGATTAAAATGAATATAAATTGTATGCTTTATGATTATCATATCCAATTGGAATACCATTCTAACTCCTTTATATAAAGTTTCCATTTCTTTGAGCAGATTCCACTTTAAAAATCTTACGTTATATTACTCCTACCACTTGCTCACTTGTAATTAGTGCTTACTATATTGCAAGCCCACTGCAAAGAGCTTTCCATGTATTTATTTATCTTCATCCTGGGAGGTAGGACCATTATTGACTATAGTCCCTTATATACAATTATCTGAAAACCAAATATACAGTTTAATGAAATATAAACACCTGTGTAACCACAGCCAAGATCAAGAAATAGAACGTCGTCAGCACCACAGAAGCATCCTTATCCACCCACTCCTGATTCCTAATAACATTTTTCCCCTCTGAATATAATTATTACCACAATATCAATAGTTGTCACTTTATTGCTTTTCTTCAAACTTTTATCTTTTTAGTTTGCATTCCTAAAAACTATAGTTCAGCTTTAAATAATTTTGAGCTTCATATAAATGGAATCATACCACAGAAATCCTTTTTTGTGTTTAGCTGTTTTTATTGTTTTGTTGTTGTTCAATATTATGCTTAGGAGATTTATCCATGTTGCTGGGTGTGGCTCCAGTGGGTTTGTTTTATTGCATATAGTATTCCGTTATATTAACAATTAAAAAATATTTACTCATCCTACTCTTAAATGACATTTGGATGGTTTCTGTTTGAGCATGTTATAAATAATGCTTCTAAGAAGATTCTTGGCTGGGCGCAGTGGCTCACATCTGTAATCCTAGCACTTTGGGAGGCCGAGGCAGGAGGATCACCTGAGGTCAGGAGTTCAAGACCAGCCTGGCCAACATGATGAAACCCCGTCTCTACTAACAATACAAAAATTCGCCGGGCATGGTGGTGGGGGCCTGTAATCCCAGCTACTTGACAGGCTTAGGCAGGAGAATCGCTTGAACCTAGAAGGCAGAGGTTGCAGTGAGCTGAGATCTCACCATTGCATTTCAGCTTAGACAACAAGAGGGAAACTCCATCTCAAAGAAAAAAACAAACAAAAAAAGAAGATTCTTTTGTATACTTTTCCTGAACCCCTTGCCAGGCTGGTAAATGTTTAACAACTGATTCTCCAGAGAGAAATCCCTGGTTGTTGCATCTGCCTATTTCTGTGGTACAAATTCCACCATATAGCTTATTTTGAGCTACCAATGCAAAGTCACTGAATGTGAAGTTGGGAAGAGATGTGCACAGACAGCAATCCCAAGCTGGCGCAAGCTACTTCCAGCACACCACTGCCTGGAGCATATGCACATTTATTTCTGTTTGGTGCATACCTAGAAGTGGATTGACTCATCAAATGTATATTCAACTGGGACATGTCATATTATTTCCAAAGTGATTGTGCCCAGTTGCCTTACTTCCAGCAGTGTGAACAGTGCCAATTGCTCCACATCTTTACAAACAGTGTGCCATTTTTAGTCAGTCTCTTTGTTAGCATATCTGGTATCTCACAGTGATTTTAATTCCTGTTTCCCTGGTAGGAGTGAGATTGACATCTTATACGGTTGCTAGCCATTTGAGTATCTTCTTTTCTAAAGTTCGTATTCAAATCTTTTGTCTAGTTTTCTAATGGGATGTCTGACTTTTCTTATTGATTTCTAGTCCTTTGTGTTAACAATACTAGCCCCTTGGTTGGGTAAGCGGGCTGCAAATATTTCTTACGTTCAGGGGGCTTACCTTTTATCTCTCTTGATGACTTTTTATTAATGGAAATGCTTGATTTTAATGTATTCAATTAAGTGTTTTTCCTTTATGATTAGTACTTTAAAATTAGCTTATTATGAGATTCTAAAGATATGCTCATCTATTATTCTCTAAAATTTTTATTGTCTTGCTTTTCACATTTAGATCTGGAATTGAATTTTAGGGTGAAGTAGAGGTCTATATAAACATTTTATTGTTCTGGCACCATTTATTAAGGGGATTTATTTTCTCCCAACTGCTCTCTGATGCCACATTTGTCCTAAATCAAGTGTCAATATACTATAAGTGAACTTGTCCTTGAGCTTTCTACTCTGTTCTGTTATTTTATTTGCCTATCTCTACAACAATAGCGATTGGCCAACTTAGTTGCTATCTGATAGGACAATTCTCTCATACTGTTGTTCTTCATGTGTGTTTTGACTATTCTTCGCTCCGTATTTAACACTACACTTTCAAACTGACTGACCAAGATATAACAAGAAACTTATTGGGTAGTAATTGGGATTTTGTTGAATTTATAGATCAGTTGTGGATAACTGACATCTTTAAAATACTCAGTCTTTAATTCAGGAAGATGATCCATCTCTTGCTGTATTCAGATCATTTTAAATTTCCCTTAAAAATGTTTGTAGTTTTCTACATCAAAGTCTCTCCCAACTTTTTTGAAATTTATTCTTAGGCATATATTTTTGATATTACTAAAAATAGTATTTTTTAGTGTAAATTTTGGAATTGTTGATGGTACTAATATAATTAAATTTTTCATATTAACCATAAATCTACAAATCTTGTTAAACTTGCCCATCTAATAATTGATCAGTTTCTATTTTTTCTATGTAAACAATCATATCATTTGTGAATAATATCTGTAGTTAGTGAAACTTGAGGTTAAGGGCATAGTTCTCCAGACTGCCAAGTCTGCCCAAGACACCAAGTGCAAGTTCAGAGATTTTTCAAAACCAACCTCAGGTTTGAAAGTTGCTAGAAAGACTCTCAGAACTCACTGAAAGCTATGATACTGACAGTTATGGCTGTTAAGGGAAAGGATAAAAATTATAACCATCCAAAGGAAGAGACAGAGAAGGCAGGGTGTGAGAAGGTGTGGAGCTTCTGGCTGTCTTCCCCCTTTGGGTTCTCACATGGATGGCATTACCTCCTTCTGACCATATGTGACGATGTGCACAGAGTGCTGCCAACCAGGGAATCTAACCTGAGCTTCTGTGACCAGAAGTTATACTGGGGCTTCATTGCACAGGCGTGATCAATGGAATCATTGTCCATGTGGCTGAACTCAATCTCTAGCCACGTCTCCACAGAGGATAGGCTGATATGAATCATCTCATTAGTATATAAACTATAAAGTGAGGTCTGAGGGGCCCATCACAAATAACAAGGACATCCTTACCATTCAGGAAATTCCAAGTATTTAGAGGTTACCTACCTACCAGGAGGCGGGGCAAAGGCCAGACCTCTCTTTGGAAGACAAATTCCTTACTATACAATAATTTTTTTCTTTCTTCCCAACTTTATTCATATCTCTTTTACTCGATACATTGCACTGGACATGAACTTCAGTATATTGTAGAACAGTAGTGCTAATGGTGGGTACTAGTGTTTTGTTCCTGATATCAATGGGAATGTTTTCAACATTACCAATAAGGTTAATGTTTGGGATAAGTTTTTTGTAGATACACTTTATCAAATTAGGAGACAGTTTTTATATTCCTCCACTCCCCCTCCCTAACATGTGCAGGCACTTGGGGTCATTAGCAATCCAGAATTACTGTAGTCCAATTTTGGAGCTGAAATCATTCATGTCTGGGCTCCAGCCCATGGAAGTGAGGCAGGAAAATAGGGTCTGGAGGCCAGAAAATAGGCCGATTTACACTTCAGCTATAACAGGAAATATCCTCTCCATAGGGCATATGCCATAAATGACTTTGTAACTTTACTTCATCCTCTCCATTTACATAGGGTTACATACCCCATGTATGTACATACTCCATTTACATAGGGCTACATACCCCATTTACATAGGGCTCCATTTACATAGGGCTACATCCTCTCCATACATAGGGCTACATTCCACTGGTTACATACCAGAAGTAACCAATGGAATCATAGGGGGTAAACTCTCAAAAATTCTGTAATGGGGCCATGGAGCCCCTATGCTCAGGCCCGCTTCCACACTGTGGAGTGTACTTTCATTTTCAATAATACCCTTTATTATTGCTTCCTTTCTTTGTTTGTGTGTTACATCCAATTCTTTGTTCAGTATGCCAAGAACCTGGACGCCCTCCTCCACCGTTAACATACTTTGGCGAGCCAGCCAGGAGGAAGAGGTAAGCCCAAAGTTTGGGATTTATTCTTTTTTCTCCTTTTCCTTTCTGCTCCATACAGGGGAGTCTCTCTCTCTTTTTCTTTCCAACCCGGGACCCTTGGTGGGCGGCGCCTAAACATGGAAGCAACTGCTGGTTTCTGGCAGTGGCCAGTGAAACTAAGGGGGTTCCCTGTGGAGGAGCCTGACCACCACCGCCTGGTTTGCTTAAGGAACCTGGGTATTTTTCATGTTTTTTTTCCCCTCTCTTTTCAGTCTTTGAGCAGCTGTTTGCTAATAGCTCCTTGGAAATTGAGGGCAATTGGCTGGGATTACTCCCTGGTCCTACCTGAAGGGCTAGGAATGAACAGGAATAATTGTCCTGCCCTGAAGGGAGAAGGACTTTTTAAAAATCTTTTCTGGGGGTGGCCCCTGATCCCTATGTGAGGCACAGCTTAGAGCAAACTCACACATGTTTCAGGGGACTTAAACCTTCTTTTCTTATGCTAAATTCTTCCTTTATCATACTCAATTGGCTAAGGACAAAAAAGCCCACCAGGCATCCGCTTCACATTATAGTTCATGGTTATTTTTATAAAGCTCACAGTATTTTCTGGAGGGAAAAACCTGCATGTGGTGCCCACCTAAGGCCAGAGACATCAGGAACTCTAAGATTGGACCCCACAGGAGGACATTCCACGGGTTCTGCGAACCGCAACCACTCCAAAGAAGATGCTCTTGGCAGAGGTTCTGAAGTGTAGTATTAAGCCCTCCTTAGAATCATCTCTCACAGTTGCAATGCTGTTTGGCATTTGGCCCCAACATTGTTTGGAATCTGGAGTTCACTGTTGAATGGGAAAGTAGAATAGTGTTGCATGTATCCAGGCTTTTGTGCTGCAGTTCTAAGCAGGGGGCCTGGTTAACATGTGATGACCTCCTTTGGTATGGTTTGGCCCCAGTGTTCTTTGGAGTCTGGGGAGGTTTGGCCTTTAAAAAGCGAACTGCAGAGATTGCTGGCAAGATGGCCAAATAGGAAGAGCTCCCATCTGCAGCTCCCAGCGAGAGCGACGCAGAAGGTGGGTGATTTCTGCATTTCCAACTGAGGTACCTAGTTCATCTCACTGGGACTGGTTGGACAGTGGGTGCAGCCCATGGAGGGCAAGCCGAAGCAGGGAGGGGTGTTGCGCCACCCAGGAAGCTCAAGGGGTCAGGGAATCCCCTCCCCTAGCCAAGGGAAGCCGTGAGGGACTGTGCCGTGAAGAGCCATGCACTCCGGCCCGGATACTGTGCTTTTCCCATGGTCTTCACAACCCGCAGACCAGGAGATTCCCTCGGGTGCCTACACCACCAGGGCCCTGGGTTTCAAGCACAAAACTGGGCAGCCAGTTGGGCAGACACGGAGCTAGCTGCAGAAGTTTTTTTTTTTTTTTTCATACCCCAGTGGCGCCTGGAACACCAGCGAGACAGAACCGTTCACTCGCCTGGAAAGGCGGCTGAAGCCAGGGAGCCTAGTGGTCTGGCTCCGTGGGTACCACCACCACAGAGCCCAGCAAGGTAAGATCCACTGGCTTGAAATTCTCGCTGCCAGCACAGCAGTCCGAGGTCGAACTGGGATGCTCGAGCTTGGGTGAGGGGAGGGACATCTGCCATTACTGAGGCTTGAGTAGGTGGTTTTACCCTCACAGTGTAAACAAAGCTGCCAGGAAGTTCGAACTGGGTGGAGCCCACCACAGCTCAGCCAAGCCTCTGTGGCCAGACTGCCTCTCTAGATGCCTCGTCTCTGGGTAGCGCATCTCTGAAAAAATGGCAGCAGTCCCAGTTAGGGGCTTATGGATAATACCCCCATCTCCCTGGGACAGAGCACATAGAGGAAAGGATGTCTGTGGGTGCAGCTTCAACAGACTTAAATGTCCCTGCCAGATGGCTCTGAAGAAGCAGTGGATCTCCCAGCACAGCGCTCGAGCTCTGCTAAGGGTCAGACTGCCTCCTCAAGTGGGTACCTGACCCCCATGTCTCCTGACTGGGAGACACCTCCCAGTAGGGGCTGACAGACACCTCATACAGGAGAGCTCTGGCTGGCATCTGGCATGTGCCCCTCTGGGACGAAGCTTCCAGAGGAAGGAACAGGCGGCAATCTTTGCTGTTCTGCAGCCTCTGCTGGTGATACCCAGGCAAACAGGGTCTGGAGTGGACCTCCAGCAAACTCCAGCAGACCTGCAGCAGAGGGGCTTGACTGTTAGAAGGAAAACTAACAAACAGAAAGGAATAGCATCAACATCAACAAAAAGGACATCCACTCAGAGGCCCCATCTGGAGGTCACCAACATAGACCAAGGGTAGATAAATCCACGAAGATAGGGAGAATCCAGCGCAAAAAGGCTGAAAATTCCAAAAACCAGAATGCCTCTTCTCCTACAAAGGATCATAACTCCTTGCCAGCAAGGGAACAAAACTGGATGGAGAATGAGTTTGATCAAGTGAAAGAAATAGGCTTCAGAAGGTCGGTAATAACAAACTCCCCCGAGCTAAAGGAGCATGTTCTAACCCAATGCAAGGAAGCAAAAAACCTTGAAAAAAGGTTATATGAATTGCTAACTAGAACAACTAGCTTAGAGAAGAAAATAAATGACCTGATGGAGCTGAAAAACATAGCACGAGAACTTTGAGAAGCACAAACAAGTATTAATAGCTGAATCAATCAAGTGGAAGAAAGGATATCAGAGATTCAAAATCAACTTAATGTAATAAAGCATGAAGACAAGATTAGAGAAAAAAGAATGAAAAGGAATGAACAAAGCCTCCAAGAAAATAGGACTATGTGAAAAGACCTAATCTACATTTGATTGGTGTACCTGAAAGTGACGGGGAGAATGGAACCAAGTTGGAAAACACTCTTCAGGGTATTGTCCAGGAGAACTTCCCCAACCTAGCAAGACAGGCCAACATTCAAATTCAGGAAATACACAGAACACCACAAAGATACTCCTCAAGGAGAGCAATCACAAGACACATAATCACCAGATTCATCAAGGTTGAAATGAAGGAAAAAGTGTTAAGCACAGCCAGAGAGAAAGGCTGGGTTACCCACAAAGGGAAGCCCATCAGACTAAAAGAGGATCTCTCTACAGAAACCCTATAAGCCAGAAGAGAGTGGGGGCCAATAGTCAACATTCTTAAAGAAAAGAATTTTCAACCCAGAATTTCACATCCAGCCAAACTAAGCTTCATAGGTGAAGGAGAAATAAAATCCTTTACAGACAAGCAAATGCTGACAGACTTTGTCACCACCAGGCCTTCCTTACAAGAGCCCCTGAAGGAAGCACTAGACATGGAAAGAAACACCTGGTACCAGCCACTGCAAAAACATGCCAAACTGTAAAGACCATCGACACTATGAAGAAATTGCATCAACTAACGGGCAAAATAACCAGCTAACATCATAATGACAGGATCACATTCACACATAAAAATAATAACCTTAATTGTAAATAGGCTAAATGCCCCAATTAAAAGACACAGACTGACAAATTGGATAAAGAGTCAAGACCCATCGGTGTGCTGTATTCAGGAGACCCATCTCACATGCAAAGAAACACATAGGCTCAAAACAAGGGGATGGAGGAATATTCACCAAGAATGGAAAAAAATAAAAAGCAGGGGTTGCAAACCTAGTCTCTGATAAAACAGACTTTAAACCAACAAAGATCAAAAGAGACAAAGATGGTCATTACATAATGGTAAAGGGATCAATGCAACAAGAAGAGCTATCTTAAATATATATGCACCCGATACAGCAGCACCAAGATACATAAAGCAAGTTCTTAGAGACCTAAAAAGAGACTTACACTCCCACACAATAATAGTGGACACTTTAATACCCCATTGTGAATATTAGATCAACAAGATAGAAAAACAATAAAGATAACTCAGATCCGGATCAAGCAGACATAATAGACATCTACAGAACTCTCCACCCCAAATCAATAGAATATACATTCTTCTCAGCACCACATTGCACTTATTATAAAATTGACCACATAATTAGAAGTAAAATACTTCTCAGCAAATGCAAAAGAACAGAAATCATAAGAAACAGTATCTCAGACCACAGTGCAATCAAACTAGAATTCAGGATTAAGAAACCTGCTCAAAACCGCTCAACTACATGGAAACTGAACAACCTGCTTCTGAATGACTACTGGGTAAATAACAAAGTTAAGGCAGAAATAAAGATGTTCTTTGAAACCAGTGAGAACAAAGACACAACTTACCAGAATCTCTGGGACACATTTAAAGCAATGTTTAGAGGGAAATTTATAGCACTAAATGCCCACAAGAGAAACCAGGAAAGATCTAAAATCAACATCCTGACATCACAATTAAAAGAACAAGAGAGGCAAGAGCAAACAAATTCAAAAGCTAGCAGAAGACAAGAAACAACTAAGATCAGAGCAGAACTAAAGGAGATAGAGACGTGAAAAAACCCTTCAAAAAAAAAAATCAATGAATCCAGGAGGCGATTTTTTTAAACGATCAACAAAATAGACTGCTAGCCAGACTAGTAAAGAACGAAAGAAGAAGCAAATAGACACAATAAAAAATGATAAAGGGGATATCACCACCGATCCCACAGAAATACAAACTACTATCAGAGAATACTGTAAACACCTCTACGCAAATAAACTAGAAAATCTAGAAGAAATGGATAAATTCCTGGACACATACATCCTCCCAAGTCTAAACCAGGAAGAAGTCAGGTCCTTGAATAGACCAATAAAAAGTTCTGAAATTGAGGCAGTAATTAATAGCCTACCAACCAAAAAAAGTCCAGGACCAGATGGATTCACAGCCAAATTCTACCAGAGGTACAAAGAGTAGCTGGTACAATTCCTTCTGAAACTATTCCAAACAATAGAAAAAGAGGGAATCCTCCCTAACTCATTTTATGAGGCCAGCATCATCCTGATACCAAAACCTGGCAGAGACACGACAGAAAACGAAAATTTCAGGCCAATATCCCTGACAAACATGTATAGGAAAATCCTCAATAAAATACTAGCAAACTGAATCTAGCAGCCCATCAAAAAGCTTATCCAACATGATCAAGTCAGCTTCATCCCTTGGATGCAAGGCTGGTTCAACATACACAAATCAATAAATATAATCCATCACTTAAACAGAACCAATGACAAGAACCACATGATTATCTCAATAGATGCAGAAAAGGCCTTTGACAAAATTCAACACCCCTTCATGCTAAAAACTCTCAATAAACTAGGTATCGATGGAACGTATCTCAAAATAATAAGAGCTATTTATGACAAACCCACAGCCACTATCATACTGAATGGGCAAAAACTGGAAGCATTACCTTTGAAAACTGGCACAAGACAAGGATGCCCTCTCTCACCACTCCTGTTCAACATAGTATTGGAAGTTCTGGCCAAGGCAATCAGGCAAGAGAAAGAAATAAAGGGTATTTAAATAGGAAAAGAGGAAGTCAAATTGTCTCTGTTCGCAGATGACATGATTGTATATTTAGAAAACCTTATCATGTCAGCCCAAAATCTCCTTAAGCTGATAAGCAACTTCAGCAAAGTCTCAGGATACAAAATTAACGTACAAAAATCACAATCATTCCTATACACCAATAACAAACAGAGCCAAATCATGAGTGAACTCCCATTCACAATTGCTACAAACAGAATAAAATACCTAGGAATACAACTTACAAGGGATGTGAAGGACCTCTTCAAGGAGAACTACAAACAACTCCTCAAGGAAATAAGAGAGGACACAAATAAAAGGAAAAACATTCCATGCTCATGGATAGAAAGAACATTGTGAAAATGGCCATACTGCCTAAAGTAATTTATAGATTCAATGCTATCCCCGTTGAGATAACTTTGACTTTCTTCACAGAATTAGAGAAAACTACTTTAAATTTCATATGGAACCAAAAAAGAGACTGCATAGCCAAGACAATCCTAAGCAAAAAGAACAAAGCTGGAGGTATCATGCCACCTGACTTCAAACTATACTACAAGGCTACAATAACGAAAACAGCATGGTACTTGTACCAAAACAGATATATAGAACAATGGAACAGAACAGAGGCCTCAGAAATAACACCACACATCTACAACCATCTGATCTTTGACAAACATGACAAAAACAAACAAGCAATGGGGAAAGGATTCCCTATTTAATAAATGGTGTTGGGAAAACTAGCTAGCCATATGCAGAAAACTGAAACTGGACCCTTTCCTTACACCTTATACAAAAATTAACTCAAAATGTATTAAAGACTTAAATGTAAGACCAAAAACCATAAAAACCCTAGAAGACAACCTAGGCAATACCATTCAGGACATAGGCATTGGCAAAGGCTTCACAACTAATACACCAAAAGCAAGGGCAACAAAAGCCAAAATTGACAAATGAGATCCAATTAAACTAAAGAGCTTCTGCACAGCAAAAGAAACTATCATCAGAGTTAACAGGCAACCTACAGAATGGGAGAAAATTTTTGCCATCTATCCATCTGACAAAGGGCTAATATCCAGAATCTAGAAAGAACTTAAATTTACAAGAAAAAAAGCAAACTCTATCAAAATGTGGGCAAAGGATATGAACAGACACTTCTCAAAAGAAGACATTTATGCAGCCAACAAACATGAAAAAATGCTCATCACTGGTCGTTAGAGAAATGCAAATCAAAATCACAATGAGATACCATCTCACGCCAGTTAGAGTGGTGATCATTAAAAAGTCAGGAAACAACAGATGCTGGAGAGCATGTGGAGAAATAAGAATGTTTTTACACTCTTGGTGGGAGTTTAAATTAGTTCATCCATTGTGGAAGACAGTGTGATTATTCCTCAAGGATCTGGAACCAGAAATATCATTTGACCCAGCAATATACCATTACTGGGTATATACCCAAAGGATTATAAATCATTGTACTATAAAGACACATGCACATGTATGTTTATTGCGGCACTATTCACAATAGCAAAGACTTGGAACCAACCCAAATGCCCATCAATGATAGACTGGATAAAGAAAATGTGGCACATATACACCATGGAATACTATGCAGTCACAAAAAAGGATGAGTTCATGTCCTTTGCAGGGACATGGATAAAGCTGGAAACCATCATTCTCAGCAAACTAACACAAGAACAGAAAACCAAACACTGCATATTCTCATTCATAAGTGGGAGTTATACAATGAGAACACGTGGACACAGAGAGGGGAACATCACATGCTGGGGCCT
This sequence comes from Homo sapiens, assembly GCF_000001405.40. Lineage (NCBI taxonomy): Eukaryota > Metazoa > Chordata > Mammalia > Primates > Hominidae > Homo > Homo sapiens. The sequence continues at coordinate 242,592,911 of NC_000001.11, forward strand.
GTTCGGTGGGGCGGGGTGGGGGGTGTGGGGGGCTAGGGGAGAGATAGCATTAGGAGAAATACCTAATGTAGATGAGGGGTTGATGAGCACAGCAAACCACCATGGCACGTGTATACCTATGTAACAAACCTGCATGTTCTGCACATCTACCCCAGAACTTAAAGTATAATAATAATAATAAATTAAAAAACAAATAAATAAAAAGCAAGCTGCAGGCAGGGTGTGGTGGGTGGTGGCTGATGCCTGTAATCCCAGCACTTTTGGAGGCTGAGGTGGGCAGATCACTTGAGGTCAGGAGTTTGAGACCAGACTGACCAACATGGTGAAACCTTGTCTTCACTAAAAAATCAAAAATTAGCCAGGCATGGTGGCATCCACCTGTAATCCCAGCTACTGGGGAGGCTGAGGCAGGAGAATCACTTGAACCTGGGAGGTGGAGGTTGCAGTGAACCAAGATCACACCACTGCACTCCATTCTGGGCAATAGAGTGAGACTCCATCTCAAAAAAAAAAAGATAATAAAATAAAATACAAACTGCCAATGGAGACTGCTTTCCCAAAATTTTGGTTCACAGCCTTCATTGGATTATCTTTTAGGACAAAGTAAAACTGGCAACTTTGTATTGCTATCTCATGGCTAAGGTTCCAAGCTATTGGATCATCATCTATGTGTATGTATACATGTCTAGATATTTACATGTACACTTATTGTTATATGTTGTGTTTACCAAAATTGGCTTATAAGTAAGATACTGTTCATACATTAAATAAGTCTAAGTAATTTTCAAGTTCACGTGACTTAAAGTATTACTTTACTAAACAAGCTAGCTTTAAAATTATTGGCAGAATAAAAATAGAAAGGCCTTCAGAATTGTCAGCATACATTTTGTCGGAATTTTATGTTTGTCTTTGCTAGATATTTTTAAATATCAGTGTTAATTCAAGCTGGGAGCTGCTTGGGGGGAGCCTGCCTCCCATTCTATTCAAAGGCTCACTGAGATAAGTGCATATCTGATTGCTTTCTTTGGAAAGGCTAATCAGAAACTCAAAAGAATGCAACCCTTTGTCTCCCACCTGTAATCTGAAAGCCCCCAAGTCCCCTCCTGCCTTTCCGGATCAAACCAGTGTTTATTTTACATATGTTGATTGATGTCTCATGTCTCCCTTGTTAAAAGTAAAAAATTAAGTACAGTGAATGGGATATATGTTTTAGGTAAGCTTTTTGTGTAAATTAAAATCTTAAAGTTATTTTTAATGCTCATTTAATATCTGGGTCATTTCAAGAAAGGGTTGTGATATGGGGAAATACGTTTCTAAAATTGTGGAATTGTTCTTATCCATAAATGCCTATACCTAATAGTTCAGGATTTCCTGCTTCTCAGGGTTTCACTAAAGTTTTAGATTACTAAGGATAAAATTCTAGTTCACATGTAATTCTGTATACAAAACGTGCCAGACAGAGTTATGTTTTTAGTGGTAAAAAGAATAATTTTGTCTAATTCAGAATTTATCTAAAAGTTAGTTGAAATTACAGATTTGAAAAGGTGTAGATTTGAACAGTGTAGTCAGGAATCATTCAGTAGGAGAGAAAGATGTGGAAAAAGTTTAAATAATAAAATATTCTTTAAAACCTGATAGAGAATGGGAGACATTTGGCTAACTAACATTTTCATAGTTAAAGCTCTTAGTCTTGATTGAAGAAAAATAATAGGCAGTTTGACAATTCTTTTTTTAATATAGTTAAGCATGAAGCTGGATTTGGTGTAAAGCCAAATTTCACATACATGTTTGCATTACCTCACACTATGTTTATTGTTTGCATAGAATGTATAATGATATTGATGAACTTAAGGATATTGAATTGTGTATCAGGAATAAAATATTCATTATGTGGGTTTTTGGGGGGCCCTGGGTAACACTGTAGCCTCCAGGGTAAATTGAGTAGGAAAATTTAGGGTTGGTTTTCTGTTTATTTGTTTTTGCTTCTAGTTTTCATTTGTTTGCTGTTTATTCTCCTCTGGCTTTACTTGTGTATCCATATATATAAAACCATGTTTGTTTGTTTGTTTTTGTTTTTTGTTTGTTTGTTTTTTTAGTTCCCAGTGGAAGGCTTTTGTTTAGTTCTATGTTCCTACGCATTTCTAGCAAGTTATTATTCGTTCCATTTATCTGGAATTCCTAAGCTACCTTTGTCAGGCCACAGGAATTAATGGAGCACACCAGCTTTTTATCCTTATAAACTAACGTTTTAGATTTTAGGCTTCCTAATACTCTAAGGGTGTTGAGTATACTTTCGTAAATAGAATTTGAATCATATTGCTCCTCTCTGCCTAACTTGTCCAACATTTGTAAATTATTTGTGAATATTCTTAATTCATGGCAATGTGTTTATTTGCATACAATCAAGCAGGGTCACCAGGGCTGCTCAAGGAGAACCCAGAAACCTGGCATGCCAGCAAAGGGTAAGAATTTCTTACCAGTCAGTCCCTGGCCTCTTCCTCTCTGTGCAAACTGATTATATATAAAGTAAAAGTCACTGTATATCTCCTCTGTAAAGTTTTAAATTAATTGGTTTAATAATAAGAACTTAAATATTTTGTCAGAAAAGTGAAAAATGTAATGCCTTTTATTTAGTTCATGTGACTTGAGTAATCTTCGGGAAATAAAGACAATTTTCAAGATTATTGGTAAAATACAAATGTCTTCAAAATGTAAAAATGTGGTCTAAATTATGTTCAAATATTAGGTTTGCTAAAAGCTTTAAGGTCATAAATTTTGAAAATTCTTTAACTTGTCTGCTTTCCAGCTAGGTAAGGCTTGGGGACATTTGGAGTTGGCCATGCCTCTAATTATGCTGGAAATAGTCAAACCTTATCAGAACATAACTTACCAGGTTTTACATTAAAGTTAAAATTGCTAAGAGTCGCCATTGTAACATGCAATTAAGACTACTAGAAACAGTTTTACATGCAAGGTGTGTAAAAACAGTAGAATGTGGGGTTTTTGTTGTTGTTGTTAAAGGTTATAAAAGATTTTTGCTTCTTTAGAAAATTTCTGAGTCATCATTTTGGCAAAATAAATAATTTATGGTAATCTGGAATTCCAAAAGCAAACTTAGGTTTCAAAATTATCTTTCCTCATGCCTGACTTTTTGGATGGATAAGAGGGCCCCTGAAAACATCCAGAAAGGAGGTAAACAGGATTATTTGATATGTTTAGGTACATGGGATTGCCAAAATGATGTTCACTCTTCTTTAGGTTATATTTTTGTGAATAATACTGATATGTATTCCAAAATTGTATGGAATTTCTAAAATTCTAATGTCTGAGTATATACTACCAATCACAATTATAGTTATTCTGTTAAATTATTGTAAATCACAGAAATAACCAAATTTCCTTGCATAAAGCTACTAACCCAGGTAAAACAAAAAAATTAATTAAATATCAATAAAATACTTTTCATGTTAAACCAGCTAATACTGAAATTGTTTAAAATAGTTTAAATTTTAAATTGTTTAAAATTGTTTAAAACATTTTATAAAGAGATTTCATTCAATTGTTATCTTCAATTCACGTGTTCTGGTTGTATTAAAAGCTTTCCCATGCAAGAAGGCTGATGTTATAACAGTAGATTGTTATGGGAACTCAGGGACCCCGAATGGAGGGACCGGCTGGAGCCACGGCAGAGGAACATAAGTTGTGAAGATTCCATTTTAATATGGACATTTGTCAGTTGCCAAATAATGCTTTTTTAATTTCTTATGCCTGTCTTTACTTTAATCTCTTAATCCTGTTATCTTCGTAACCTGAGGATGTACGTCACCTCAGGACCACTGTGAAAATTGTGTTAACTGTACAAATTGATTGTAAAACATGTGTTTGAACAATATGAAATCAGTGCACCTTGAAAAAGAACAGAATAACAGCAAATTTTAGGGAACAAGGGAAGACAATCATAAGGTCTGATTGCCTGCGAGGTTGGGCAAAAAGAGCCAAATTTTTCTTCTTGCAGAGGGCCTATAAATGGACATGCCAGTAGGAGAGATATCGCTAAATTCTTTTCCAAGCAAGGAATATTAATATTAATACCCTGGGAAAGGAACACATTCCTGGGGGGAGGTCTATAAACAGCTGCTCTGGGTTTGTCTGTCTCATGCGGTTGAGATAAGGACTGAGATATGCCCTGGTCTCCTGCAGTACCCTCAGGCTTATTAGGGTGGGGAAAAACTCCACCCTGGTAAATTTGTGGTCAGACCTGTTCCCTGTTCTCGAACCTGTTTTCTGTTAAGATGTTTATAAAGACAGTATGTGCACAGCTGAACATAGACCCTTATCAGTAGTTCTGTTTTGCCTTTTGTCCGGTTCCCTCAGAAGCATGTGATCTTTGTTCTGCTTTTTGCCCCCTTGAAGCATGTGATCTTTGTACCTACTCCCTGTTTTACAACCCCTCCCCTTTTGAAACCCTCAATAAAAACTTGCTGGTCTGAGACTCAGGTGGGCATCACGGTCCTACCAATATGTGATGTCACCCCTGGTGGCCCAGCTGTAAAATTCCTCTCTTTGTACTCTTTCTCTTTATTTCTCAGCTGGCCGACACTTACGGAAAATAGAACTTACATTGAAATATTGGGGGCAGGTTCCCCTGATAGTAGATTATTATGCTACAGTGTATTTTCACCAGGTAAAAAAAGCTTTTTATGGTTTGGATCTTCTGAGAACACTGGAGAAAGACCATTCTTGCCATCCACACTACAACACAACTTCAGGACTTTGAGCTTTGGGTCCGCGGTCTCAAAACTGAGAAGGGTCCCCCCACACATTTGGAACTGTGCACCCATTGGAACCCTTGAGGTAAAGCTAACCAGGGAAATTTATCCCAAGAAGAAGATGGCTTCTTGAAGTGAACAGCTTTTCCCAAGTTCACAGGTTAAGACTTCTACTATCATGAAACTCTTATCTTTGAATATTCTTTTTCTTGCTTATGCCTCTATGAACAATAGAAGGGAGTCTGTAACATGCACTTATGAGATATACTTTTGTTTGTGAAGGAGTTTGCAGCCAGCCTTATACATGGATAACCTTATACTTTGATAGATAAAAGATGAAGGCCCAATGTAGGTAAGAAACTTTAATGGTATGTGCGTTGCCTCATAATCAGTCAAAAACAAAACATTGGTTCACTCCTCTTAACCCACATCATGGGTTAAAGAGAACAGTGCTAGCAGGTGTTCACTATTCTAAAAGGGCATCATTTGTTAGGTCCTTTCTCACGATTTAAAAAAAAGCAATGATTAGAAATCATGAGGGATACATGTATCATGAGGGATACTCAATAGCAAATTCTACTGTAAAGGCTATAGTTACACAATAGACTTTAAATTCTCTTGTGAAAGTTATGCTAAATAATAGAATTGGCTTAACAGTGAAGTATCTGTGCAGCTGCTGGCACTTGTGACCTGCGGGGGAGGAGTGGATGGGGGGAGAATACATCAAATGAAGATTATAGAAATTCAGTGGTAGGGGACTGATGAAGAAACTGCTTAGTCAAATGAGTAAACTCTTTATCTAGCTCATTCTTTGCTCTATTTGATTTTTGGAGGTTTGGTTTATGGGGACCTTGGGTAAGGAGGGTACTCCAAACTCTTGGTATTATCCTTCCAATAGGTATAATAGTTGTCTTCCTGGTGTGCTGTATTCTCTCAATTTTAAATGCTTTCATGCAGCCATTTCTAGAATGTCATATGTTCTCTCTTCAACTGACATAACAAGAACTGGAAGAAATGTGCAATCATGAGGACACTGTAACCTATAAGTGATGTGCTGAGACCAGAAGCCCAAAATGATGGTAACTGAGAGTGGCACAAAGGCCCTAAGTTTTGGTCATGCTCTCACCTAAGTGAGCCAAAAAGAGGGAATTTTTTAAACAAAATTCTAGGAGGCCATTGTTTTGGACTGAACTCATGCACCAGGCCCCAGCAAACCAAACCGAAATGGAGTCCCTCGTGCTAAGACTTTAAGGAAACACATAGATTCTAGAACAGACCAGGTTTTGTTTTGTTTTTTCTCCTGCAAATCTCTATAACAAACATTTCTAACAGCATAGGTAGCCACCCCTTGAAGTTCTCATTAAATCTTTTAACCAAATTCATTTTCTCCTGCCTAGAGACCATCAAGCTTCAGATAATCATGCAACAAAAGACCCATCCGGTTCCGGGTGAAGACAACACCCCCACCCCCTGCCCCCGCTGCCAGCCATCAAGAAGCTACCCTGACTTCACTAGATAGAGCAGGGCTAGTTCTGTGATCCCCAATAGGTAGGGACCACGCCCCAAGCCAGCATGAAGCAATTACAGAAAAAAAGCATGGGTCCCTCTGCCTCCCAGGAAGATTTATGGGGATCACATCTCTCAGTGGGGAGATGAGGCAGGAAAATAGGGCCTAGAGGCAGGGAACATAAGGCCAATTCATACTTCAGCTATAACAGGAAATATACTCTCCATAGAGCCCATGCCATAATTGTCTTTGTAACTTTACTTCATCCTCTCCATAGGGCATACCCGAAGGAACCAGTGGAACCCTTTAGGGAGTAAACTCCCATTTTGAGCTCCTATGTTCAGGCCACTCCCACACTGTGGAGTGTACTTTCATTTTCAATAAAATCTTTCATTTCTTCCTTGCTTTGTTTGTGCGTTTTGTTCAAGATGCCGAGAACCTGGACACCCTCCACCATTAACAGAAGGGTTAGTTTACTTGTAATCCAGGTAGTTTGTCTAAATTACCCAGTTTGTTATTACCAGAAGAGAAAATGCTAGAGTGATCTTTTAAAATCATAGTATGATCATGTCATTTCTCAGTTTAAATCTTTTCAGTGCTTCTTAGAATAAAATCTAAATTATGTTTATGGTTCAAATCCCTGTGTGATCTGGCCTCTAACTTCTTCAACCTCATTTACTTTATTCTAGTTTTTCCTGATGAAAGGAGCTTTTTGTTTCCAGAGCAAGCCAAACTTTCACCTCCCTCTACCTCAAATACTTATCCCTGGATCATTCCATGGCTTCTTCTAACTCATCTTATAGTTCTCATGAAAGATGACTTCCTTGGAAAGGTTAAGGAAAGACCTGTCCTAACTAAACTAGCTTGTCCAACTCCAGCTTATTGTACTTTACTTCCTTGATAACACTTACCAAAATCTTTAATTACTTGGTTATTTTTCTTATTTTTATCTATTTAATGTACACTTTGAGAACTGGGGCTGTTTCTCTAGTAGCCAGCATGATGCCTCACACAACACAAAGAAGTTACTCAATAAACAGAGGTACCATGAATGAAGGTTGTATAAGTGCTGACAATATATGTTTGAAATAGAATTAATGATGATTTTTGTCATCCCTATGGTAGCACCAGTAGTAGCAGTGGCTGTGGCAGTTAAAAATAGTAACATGGCAGTGAAAAGCAGTCAGTCATACTGACTGTGCTTGAATTGTACTCTGTCACCTGCTACTGTGTGACTTTGGACAAGTTAACTTTTCTGTGACTCAGTTTCCTCATCCTTTGACAAGTGATAATCAAGTCTTCATCCTTTATCCAAATCCTGGGCTGAATATGTTTGGAAAGTCAGAATTTTTTTTCTATTTTAGAAAAGTAAAGTGATATATACCATACATTCTATAGCAATGCTAGCGGTGTCAAGGGCAGCTCCCATAATCAAATACATAAATATGTTTGCAATGAGACGTATACATATTAACCCTAAGTGGAATAACTAGACTATAAAGAGGCTTATGTCAGTTTGGCTGAGACTTTACTATGTAAACTTTAAAACCTGGATTTTCAGAGCTAATCCTTGAGAACTCAAATGCATGTAGCAACATAGAATTTTAGAAGTGGGAATAATTCTAATGACCATTTTTATAACTTCTCCAATTGTAATGACAAAAAGAAAGCTAAGACCTAGAGGTGTCAAACCATCCTCCCAAGGTTATATTGCTGGTTCCTAGCAGTGTTGGAGACTGACTTTCAGTTTAGTGTCCTTTCTGCTGCACTATGACTTAAAAAAATCAGAAGATCATTTTATTTCAGAGTTGAAAACAAGCACTAACCAATCTTTCTTGGGGTATCTTCCTGTCTTTAAATTGTTACATGTGAACTGACATTCCCATGATCAGTGAGTAATTTTTTTGATCATACAAATGTATGAACTTCTTAGTACATGGTGATCACGAGGAGAGGAAATGATGTTGCATCAAAGGTACCTACAACAGAGTGAAGACGACATATACAAAAAAAGATGAGCAACAAACGAGAGTCAGCATGTGATGCTTTTGAATGGGTACTAAATACTACAATATTATTTTGTATTGTAGAAAACATTATAAGCTCCTAGGGAAGTTAGAGTTGGTATGTATAGGATTATCTTTTTTTTTTTTTTTTTTTTTTTTTTAAGACAGAGTCTCTCTCTGTTGTCCAGGCTGCAGTGCAGTGGTGTGATCTCGGCTCACTGCAACTTCCGCCTTCCAGGTACAGGCAATTCTCCTGTCTCAGCCTCCCGAGTAGCTGGGACTACAGGCGCCTGCCACCACACCTGGCTAATTTTTGTATTTTTAGTAGAGACAGGGTTTCACTTGGTCAGGCTAGTCTCGAACTCCTGACCTCGTGATCTGCCCGCCTCGGCCTCCCAAAGTGCTGGGATTGCAGGCGTGAGCCACTGCGCCTGGCCTGGTATATAGGATTATCTTTAGGGTTCTATGGATACTTCCTCTTTCAAAATGAGGAAAGAGCTTTCAGATGTGTTAATCCTTATCTCATATAACAAATCATCTTCTGATACATGTGACAATTGACTGACATTTATTTTAGCTGTTGAGAATTGAGTCTTTAGTAGCATATCAAACACTAGTTCATCTTTATTCCATAAAAATACTAACATTGCCAGTAGAGAAAGTTAGTGTGTGATTTTGTAAAGATAAGGGCACTTGTTAATTTACTTTAAAAAGTTTCAGAGCCCACAATGCTGCAGGCGAACATTTTAAAGTTAAACCTGAAGTAGTATTTAATGGCACAGAGGTGGGATGGTAGCCTCTTAAGTAGTAGGGGCAGAGTCATGGAATGATTGAAACACAAATGCCACAGAGATTGCCAAAATGTTATTCTCTTGGATCCTTTACAGGCGGAAAATTCTCTGAAGGCAGAGTACCACAGACGTAGAGATGGGAAGTGTCTGCAGCAGCTGTTCACGGGAAGCTGTCGGCAAAAAGAAGGGCAGCGGAGTCATAGAATGACGCTGCAATTAGAAATGAAAAGTGGATGCAAATTTGTCTGAGGGACACATTTTTCCTCTTGAAATAATTCAAGTGACTTGCCAAAGGCCTCTGGAAATGGATGATGTGCATATTTGCTGGCATGGAAGGCTAGTTTCTTAAAACATAAAGTTTCTCATTTTTGTAAGTGTAATGAAGACATATTTTCAGTTTCCCTAATGAGCTATAGGAATAAGAAACTGTGGAAAGGGAGCCTCACCATTTTACAAGCAATTTGGTGCATGCTATACACCTAATCTAAGTTTAATTTCTTTCTTTTCTTGATAGAATTCTATTTTGTTATTACAAGAAAAAAGCCATAAAACATAAGTGGAATGCACATTTTGGTGTACCTTCCAGGTTTTCCTATGCATGTGTTTGTGATTTTTAAATAATAAATGTTTAAAATACTAAGCAAAGAGTTTTGAGGCTTCTTTTCCATTCAGAATTACGTGGACCCCCTTCCATGTCTGTACATTTTTTGCATAATGGCTGAAAAAATAATAGAGCGTTTTCTAGAACCAGCCATGTGCTGAGAACTTGACATTCTCTTTTTAAAATTTAATCTTCCAGTAACCTTATAACATTGGTATTATTATTCTCACTTTATAGCTGAAGAAATCAAAGTCTAGCTTAAGTAATATGTCCAAGTACAGTTACACAGGAAGAAGGGGAAACAGAATTTAAATCCAGGCACTCTACGAGTTTATACCGCGAATCGTATTACTCAGTTTTTCTTTTGTATGTACAACCCACAATACGGTATATCTAAAAGTTTCACACTTTTCATGAAACATAAATTGTTTCATGTTTCCTTCTTCTCTTCTTTCCCTCTTTCCTTCCCTCCCTTTCCTTCTTCTTTCCTTTCTGTTACAAACAGGTCTTTGATGAGCATCTGTTTAGCAAAATCTTGATTCATGGTCCCAAAGATTAAATGGCTGGGCATAGCAAGTGCTCACCAAATTCTGAACCTTTGCAGTTTAGCAGGCTCATGTGACAAGTTCTGGTCAGTGGGCTATGAGCAGACAGGACCTATGTCACTTGTGGATGAGACAGGGAAGACTGGCTGGGTTCCCCATGAGCTCCCTTCCTGCCTGGTGAGTCTTGAGTGTTGAGAGGGCGGCATCACAAAGCATGAAGTTCCCATCAGTGTGAGCCCCTACATGGCTAAATGGCTCCTCATTTCACTTGAATCTGTACCTTGAATGACAAAGCAAAAGCCTCTTCATGTGAAGTCACTGGGCTATTAGGTTTAAACTGTCACCACAGGTAATGGTTATTTAGGGGTGTTACACAATACCTAGCAAAAAATTATATGCATTCATCCTCTGACTCAGTGTTCCATTTCCAGGAATCTTCCCCAGTCGGAAGAAAGGAAGGAAAGGAAGGGAGAAAACAAATAATGCTTCCACAGGACTATCAACTGCAGAGGAAATGGTTTCTGAATATTTGTTAACAAATACACACTAAGGACATTACTTCATCCTTTTACTTTTTAGGCATCATTCTTTCCTCTACTCGAAAAGTGAAAATAACATCTATTGACTTTAGAGTTATGTTCTGGAAATACTGGTGTATTTACCTTGTCTTTTTGCTCACTCATGCATATTTGCATGCATCTTCCGGATTCAGAGAGTGATGGAAGCAGTTTCCTATGTTTACACATTGATGTCTGGGTGGCAGCAAGGCTAGGGGCATAAGAAGCAGATAGTATCCTGAGTTATCTGTGGGAAAAGCAGGTTTTTTTTTCCTTAGGAATCAAGTTACCGTCCTTTTGAGGACACAAGAGGTTGCAGAAGACTGTGGGTTTTGGCTTTTAATACAAAGTAAGATCCTTTTAGTTTTTATATACACAGCCTATAATACCTTAATTTCCTCAAGGGGTTTGGCTTCATTTGCATTTTACACAGTGCAATTTTGCAAGATCCCCTTTCCTTTCTCCCTTTGGGTAAATAGGCAGGGCGAGTGCATTTCTTGCCAACCTTCTGAAAGATAAAGTGCTTTTTATGTTTTCTCCCAAGGTCTCATTAAGTGGAGCATCTGAGGAAATGAGAACCTATGATGATGCCACCCTCAAACACACGACTGCCTCTGTGAGCATTTTTCAGTGAACTGCATCTTTCAGAATGACACTCCCACCTCAGCGCCCACGTCTTGGCCTTGTACAGCGTTCAGAAGGCGACCTGTGGCCGGCACACAGCATTGGAGAAGTCGCCGGTGTGATGAGAATGCCCAATGTGCCCCAAGCAGCCGTCTGTGGCAGAAGCCAGCCCTCACAAATCAAAACACCACTCTGTCGTGCACGGTGACGTGGAAAGTTTTTGAAGAGGGAATCTCTGCCCTACGCAGTTAGCGGCTGGGGCTTGACCACAATGCATAATGAGCGGGCAGCGGCTGAGCTGCAGATGATGCCTGCTGCTCTGGAGTCCACGCTACTGTCCCTCTTTTCCCGGGTAAAGCTGGAAGCTGAACTGGGAACCCCGGGGCAATCATCAAGATGCAGAATGTGAACGATAATGCTGCAACCGCAACGCACTCGTCATAAATATGCACCACACCATAAAGATATAGAAATGGGGGTGGATGGAAGAGGGGAAACTGTCACCCTGGAAATGGCTGCAGAAGGAGCCAGCTGCAGAGAATGAGGCAAGGAAGATTCCTAAGGAGAAGCTTCACTGGTGGAGGAGCCTTGGATCTTTTAATTGCATTTCATTACAGTGGAGATAAGAGTGTTGGGAAATGCTGTGTCTTTTTGCCCCTGCCATATTTCTGGCCATGCTAGTGATTCGCACATAGCGGAGGAAGCCACAGAGTTAGTGTTGGTTGACCTGTTGGGTCCTGGGGCCATTCCGAGTTTTGAAGCTCAACAGATGGGAGCATGACCCATGGAGGTAAGGCAAGTAGAAATGAGGAATTAGTAATGAGCACCATTTTGAATATGTCATCCTTAAACTTGTAGTGAGACATTCCAATGGAGAGGTATGTCAAAGGTATGAAATTAAAGAGTAGGGCTGAAAGTTCCAACCCTCTCTCTACTCATGGCTTCATCTTTCTGGTGGTAGCTCCCAGCCTGGAGCTACCTAGGGGCTCCTGCCAGGAGTCATCTTATCAGCATACAAAAGAAATTCTTATCACTCTAGAGATTCTGTGCCACCGGGAACAATATACAGTCAGGCACCAGACTCAATATACAGTTGTGCACCACGGAGGGGGTGCCTTCTGAGAAAAGGCCATTTCCTCACTGTGCAAACATCACAGTGAACTTATACAAACCTAGATGGTAGAGCCTCCTACACACGTAGGCTAGATGGTATATCATATTGCTCCTAGGCTACACTCATGTCACCTTACTGAATACTATAGGCAACTGTAACACATGGTAAGCATTGTGTATCTAAACATAGAAAAGTTACCATACAAATATAATATAAAAGATTTTTAACAAGGTACACCACATAGGGCACTTACCATGAACGGAGCTTGCAGGACGGGAAGTGGCTCTAGATGAGTCAGTGAGTGAGTAGTGAGTGAATGTGAAGACCTAGGATGTCTGAGATGTTACACTACAGTACTGTCGACTTTATCAACACTGTACACTTAGGCTACACTCAATTCATGTAAACTCTTCTTTAATAGTAAATTAATCTTTGCTTACTGTAACTTTTCAAATTTATGCATGTTTTAATGTTTTTAACTTTGACTTTTTGTAATAAAACAGCTTAAAACATAAACACAATGTACAGGTATATACAAATATTTTTTATATTCTTTTCTATAACTTTTTTCTATTTTTAGATTTTTTTAAAAAAAATTATGTTAAAAACTAAGACATAAACACACATACTGCCCTAGGCCTACACAGGGTCAGGACCATCAATATCATTATCTTCCACCTACACATCTTGTCCCACTGCAAGGTCTTCAGGTGGCAATAACACTCATGGAGGTCCATTTTTATATATAGGAATACACTCTAAAATAATGATAGAAAGTATGGCACAAAGAGTCTTCAAAACGTTCATGGAAAGTGTGTATTATAAAAAAAATTATGAATGGATTTCAAGTATTTTACAAATAAACTACTAACTTGTTATAACATGTCTGAACAGGACCTAGTTTGAAAAGAGCCCTTATCAGGGCGACATGAATTTTGCTAAAATTAAAGTGAGAACAAATATCAAATTTATGGTAAAGCTTGGATGGAAGAGTGATAAAATCATTGATGCTTTATGCAAAGTTTGTGAGGACAATGCCCCAGAGAAATCATCCATTTACAAATGGATAACTTGTTTTAAGATGGGATGAGATGATGTGGAAGATGAGCCTTGCAGTGGCAGACCATCCATATCAATTTTTGACCAAAAAAAATCATCTTGTTCATGTCCTCATTGAAGAGGACTGATGACTAACAGCAGAACAATAACCAACACGATAGATATCTCAACTTGTTCATCTTACAGAATGACTGAAAAATTACAGTTAAGCAAATTTTTCACTCCCTGAGTGCCAAAACTACTGCATCCAGATTAGCTGCAGACAAGAGCAGGGCTTTCAATGGAAATTTTAAACAAGTGGGATCAAGATCCTGAAGCATTTCTTCAAACAGTTGTAGCAGGAGATGAAACACATCTTTACCAGTACAATCCTGAGACAAGGCACAGTCAAAGCAATAGCTACCAAGAGGTGGAAGTGGTGCAGTCACAGCAAAAGCAAACCACTCAAGAGCAAAGGTCACAGCAACAGTTTCTTGGGATGCTCAAGGTATTTTGCTTGTTGACTTTCTGGAGGGCCACAGAACAGTAACATCCACTTATTATTAATGTTTTCCGAAAGTTAGCCAAAACTTTAGCAGAAAAATGTCTGGGAAAACGTCACCAGAGTCCTTCACCATGACAATGCTCTTGCTCATTCCTGTCATCAAACAAGGTCATTTTGTGAGAGTTTCAATAGTAAATCATTAGGCATTCACCTCACAGTATGTATATATGTATTTATTTATTTATTTATTTATTTATTGAGATGGAGTCTCACTCTGTCACCCAGGCTGGAGTTCAGTGATACAACCTCAGCTCACTGCAACCTCTCCCTCCTGAGTTCAAGTGATTTTTCTGCCTCAGCCTCTCAAGTAGCTGGGATTACAGGCATGTGCAACCATGCCTGGCTAGTTTTTGTATTTTCAGTAGAGACGAGGTTTCACCATGTTGGCCAGGCTGGTCTCGAACTCCCAACCTTAAGGGATACGCCTACCTCGGCCTCCCAAAGTGCTGGGATTACAGGCATGAGACACCATGCCCAGCTTCCACCTCACCATCTTGATTTGGCTCTTTCTGACTTCTTTGTGTTTCCTAATCTTAAAAAGTATTTAAAGGGCATCCATTGTTTCTTTACTTAATAGTATAAAAGAGACTGCATTGACAGGCTTAAATTCCCAGGACCCTCAGTTCTTTATGGCTGGACTAAATGGCCAGTATTATTGCTTACAAAAGTGTCTTTACCTTGATGGAGTTTATGTTAAAAAATAAAGTTCATAGTTTTTAGTTTTATATTTTAATTCTATTTTTCCACAAACTTTCTGAAGTATCCTGTATTAGTCCATTCTCATGCTGCTGTGAAAAATTACCTGAGACTGGGTAATTTATAAAGGAAAGAGGTTTAATTGAGTCACAGTTCCACATTGCTGGGGAGGCCTCAGGAAACTTACAATCATGACAGAAGGCAAAGAAGAAGCAGGCACCTTCTTCACAGGGCAGCGGGATGGAGTGAGTGCAAGCAGGGGAAATGCCAGATGCTTATAAAACCATCAGATCTCATGAGAACTCACTCAGTATCAGGAGAACAGCATGGGGGAAACCACCACCATGATCCAGTTACCTCCACCTGGTCTTACCCATGACACCTGGGGATTATAGAGATTACAATTCAAGGTGAGATTTGAATGGAGACACAGGGCCAAACCATATCATACCCCTTAGTAAATACTAGGCTACAGGAATTTTTCAACTCCATGATAATTTTATGGGACCCCTTTCACATAGGCAGTCCATTGTTAAATGTTATATGGTACATGACTATATGTATATATCTTAATTATACCACACAAGGTTACAAGTCTTCTACAAGCACATTGTTCAGAAGGGCTTTTCTTTGGTTTCACCCTAAAAATCTTGTCTCCCAGTGTTTGTCAGTGTTCTAGACTTGGTCCTAGTCAGATAGACTTTCATCTATGACACTCACACACACTAAAGGATACAAACTAGACCAGCCACATATTAATTTGCAAAAGAACATTTTCCTTTTCTGTCATTGGGATGCTCATGTCTTCCATCCTGGGGCCATCTTCTAGTATCAGAATACCTGGAAAACCAAAATAGCAATGAAAAGACTTCTTTGTGGGCATGAAGTTGGAGCTAATGAAATAGGCTGAAGGGATATTCTACCTGGCTTTGGTGAGACCCAGAGAATCACCTATGCTCCGTAACAGTGCTATTCTCTCAGTGATAGAAAAAAAATGGTGTATCTAGGGTTTATTGTCTCTCTTGCTAGATGTTACTAAGTAAACACAGCTGGCATCGAGCATTTGAACTCTATTCTTCTATGCTAAATGCCCATACCTTCTGTTCATAGGCTATTTCTTCAAACAGGGTAATTTATCATAGGTGTTTCTGATTAAGAAATGGTAATCTTATTTCATCCTACTCAGAGTTCTGAGTGCTTCTAAACTCTTAAAATACATGTTTAAACACCGTTTCTTGGAATTCTCCTTCTGCTGCCTAACCATATTCTATTTCCTTTATTTATGGGTTTTACAGGTTTAACTCATAATAATGCATGCACCTCAAAGTTAACAATAATAGCCATGGTTTATGGAGGGTCCTCCATGTACCTGTATTTCAGTTAGGCTCTTTCAGCTGCAAGTAACAGAGACCCACACACATTAACTCAAGAAAGGAAGCAGGTGGGGAGGAGAAAAACATATTATAGAAAAGGATGGGAGAGCTGCATGGGAAACCAAGAACAGAAACCAAAGTCTAACCCAGCATCATGAAGAGGCTGCACTAGAGAAGTCAGTAGCAAAATTCTGTGGATCTTCTCTCAATTATTGCACCATTAAAGAAACACAAATGCTTTCAAATATTTGCTCTATTCTCTTCTTGCCGGTGTCCTTGACTTCTATTTTGTATATCTTTTCTCATGATCGTAGCTTTTGCCTATTTACAATTGAAATTTGTGATGCACCCTCTTGGTCAGGATTGTATTTCATTATTTTTCTCACTTTTGTGTTTCCATTGCCTACAGTTAATTCTCTTGTTTTCCCAATGCTCATTTCCAAAAGTAAGTACAGATGCTTCTTGACTTATGATGAGGTTAGATCCCAATGAGCTCACTGTAACCTGAAAAAATCATAAGTCAAACATGCATTTAATACACCTAACCTACCAAACATCATAGCTTAGCCAAGTCTACCTTAAATGTGCTTAGAACACTTACCTGAGCCTACAGTTGGGCAGAATCATCTAACACAAAGTCTATTTTATCATGAGGCACTGAGTAGATCATGTAATGTCTTAAATACTTTACTGAAAGTGAAAGACAGAATGATGTATGGGTACTCAAAGTATGGCTTCCATTGAATGTGTATGGATTTTGCACCACCGTAAAGTCAAAAAATTTTGTCGAACCATTACAAATCAGGGACCATCTGTATTTGATTAGCCCAACTCATCTTTTTCAGGGATGTTTCTTTTTACACCAAATTAATTCATGGTTACCTTGAGTCAGATGCGTGCTTACAATCCAATGAGCCACGGCTGATGAGGACATTGCTGTAATGTGTATATATAACGTGGCTGCTTAAGATCCATTCATCTATAGGGACAGTGAGAAGAACCATTTTCCTCAGCAAGGCAGGAACCATGATTGGACAATTTATCTAAGTATCTTGCTAAATTGCACACATTAGCACACTTAATTCTCCCAAGAAATGTGGTGCAGATATTATTATCCCCAATTTGTGGAAAAAGAAATCTAACCTTAATAAGATTTAGCTCCAAATCATGCAGTTTTTAAGTGGCAGATAAATTTACCTCAATAGAGATTGTTAAGCTTTAAGTGTCCCCACAGCCCATCGTTTAATAGCCCGGGATTTTTGGAGGTAGAGATCTTATCTGAAAAACTAGGGACAAGGTGTTCCTGTGGCCGTTGAGCACACACTAGGAACACATGCTGTACATTCTGTCACAATAGTTAACATTTTCTAACATTTTTAATGTACCAGGCACTGTTCCCAATGTTGAAAATGAATTCTCTCCTTGAACCTTCATTACAACCCTATGAAATAGGTGCAATTATTGTCCTCTCTTCATAGGTAAAAACTAAGGTACAAAAGGAAACAGAGGTTCAGTCAAAGAAAGTGACCTTGTTAACGTTAGTGACCTGCAACTCGAATCCAGGTTGACTAAATTCAAACCCTATATACCTGTTAGAGGCAATAGTCACTGAGGAGGACATCTCAAAGTCTGCCCCCCTTTTCCACTGAAGGTGGGATAGTAGCAACATTTTTCTGATTCAGGAAGGGAAATCTGTACTGCACATTAGGGATAACTTTGTGACCATAAAACTTGGGCTAAATAGAATCTCCAAAGAAATTTGAAAATCTCCTTTCCTATTCATATTCTCCCCCACCTTTTCTCTTTATATCCAAAAATCCCTCCTTGCCTTTAAAGAGGTTGCCAATTTCTTTTCTGAATGGATTTTAATGGACTTGCCTATCTCTCAGGTTCTGCTTCTGAAATCATAAGAAAATTCTGCTTCCCGGGGGAGAAAAATGTCAATCAGAAGTCAGGAACAGAACGTGACTTGCACTAGAGTGACCAGGGCTGCCAAAAAACAGAACTGTGACTGCTGATAGTTACCCCTGCGGGTCTGCAGCAACCTCCATTCTTGCCTCCTCAGAAGAAAGAATTTGACTGAGGGGCAGAAGGAGATTCTGAGGCAAGTTTTAGAGCAGGAGGGAAAGTTTATCGAAAAGCTTTTGAGCGGGAAGGAAAGGGAAGAAAGGAAGGAAAGCACACTTATAAGAGGGCCAAGCAGGCGATTTGAGAGACCAAGCCTGCAACTTGACCTCTTAACTTGGGGGTTTTGTACATTGGCATACTTCCAGGATCTTGCGTCACTCTTCCCCACTCTTGAGATCTCATTGAGAAGCTGCTGATCATTTTCAGGTGTTTTCTATCTATTAGGAGCCTGCCTTTCCCTGTTGCCAGCTGTGACCAATTATTACTTTAGAGAAACACTTAACAACCGCCTGACCGTCACCTGATGGTCGCCCAACATTTCTGATGTGTTTGGGAGAAGCCCCCTCCTGCCCTGCTCATAGACTAGCCACCTACTGTAACAGAACTCCCATTAGACTCTGGGGAAAGGGATTCCCACTTTACATTCCCCAAGGTTAGTAGTGCTCACCTAATGTCATCTGAATCAGAAATGACAGGCAGTCAATTCTGTCTTTATTGATCGTTAACAGGGTGGTTGGAAATGAAGTATTTGAAAGAAAAAAAAACAAATGACCAGAATTCTGGAACAGAGACATTTCATTGCAGAAATGCAGCAGATAATGGAGAAAGGTTATCCTGTCCCAGATAGGAAAAAGGGGAAGAGTGTGCTGAGCATCTCTCTGTCCTCTGGCTGCCCAGCTCTTTGCTGCACCCCTGACTCAGCTCGTGTTACTGTCTGCAGTTGTGCTTGGTGGTGGGCAGTGTACATGTCTGAAGGCCAGTATCCAGGTGCCTAGGACACAGCAAATACTCAATAAATGTTTTCTGAATTCTTAGTGTCATCCTTTGTTATGTAGGTGGCAAAATCGAGATGCAGAGAACAGTCTTACCCATAGCTAATCAAAGAGTCGAGGGAGTCCCGAAGTCTCCCTGTGGAAATCCTCTCTCTCACTTGCCAGCTTCAGGGGCCTCATGTAGGTTTACTCTTTTCCTGGAGGAGCCAAGTTCTAAGACATCCGAATTTGCTGGACTCCATCCTGGGGGTCTGTCCTCTGACTCCCTCCCTTTCCTGGTTCTTAGGAAGATCCTGCCTTCCAGCCTAATCTATACATGACTGCACTTGGACTGCCAGAGGCACAAGCCCATGTCTTCTAGGCTTCTGTTTAGCCCCTGCCTTTGAGGAAAACCTACCCCAAAACTATGAGGAAAAACATTGCTGGCTGAGTGACACAGCTGCAAGGACCCACGTCCTTTAAAAGCTTAGAGACCCCCAACCCTCTCTCATTTATCCAAAGAATAAGGGGGCACTGTGAGACAACCTAAGGGTTGATACCTGTTCAAGGCTGTCTGGCCAAGTGTAGCCCCGAAGTACCACAGTAAACCATGAGCAATGTGGGAACAACTTCCCTGGTTTCCTTTTCCCACTTCCTGCATTTCATTGTGGGCATCTGGTGATGAGGAGGTAATGACTTCTTGGGCATTAATTGTCTTGTTTTTCTTACAGATCTGAATATGGCCTGGGGCTGGATAGAAGGAATGAAATTAAGCCAGCTGTTGTTCCATTTTTTTCTTTTTGTCTTTTATTTTCTTTCTCTTTTCTTTTTTTCTTTTTTTTTTTTTTTTTTTTTTTTTTGGCTGATTTTAGATCTGCCTCAGGCTTCATCTTTTACTTCTTTTCCCCATTCCCCTTTCACAATCTTACAATCTTTCCTGTCCTTAAAATGCAGTGGGGCAGATGCCAAGGAGAAGGTAGTTGGCTTAGACTCGGCAGAGTTTTAGAGAGTCCATGTTTCTAGTAGGTAGAGTGATGAGGGAGTTTATCTAATCTAATAAGCTCATTTTGCAAGAAGCTGCAGTTCAGGGAATTGAAACGATCTGCCCAAGATCGTGGAGAGAATGGGTGGAGGAGAAGAAAATAAATCCATTGTCTTATTTTCAATCAGGCCCTCACAGCTATGGTACAATTGGTGGGGGAAGGAAAATGAATAGTAAATTTAACAGTATTATGACTATTTCAAGATCTACCACAGAGTTGCAGACATGCAGAGCTTAATAATACTTTGCTTGCATAAAGACAATATCCCTCATTTCCTGCTAGAGAGAAAAAAAAAAGACAATATCCCTTGTGCATCTGGAGTTTTAGCAAAAATGGAAGTTTATTTGCCATAATTTTTTTGCATTTCACTTCTTAGTATCTTAAAGAGCAGAACACAGCAGGATTCATTTTCTTGCATGGTAAGAAGCTTTCATACACAGAATTAATTGGTCAGCATTTTGCTACTGAGGCTTCACAGCATGATTGTTTCCATTTTATAGCTTCTGATACCTTGGGTTCCATAATGATGGTAATAAATGCTCCCCATGACTTTGCAGAGTTATCTGCATAGCCCCATAGCTGTACTCTGAGAAAGGAGTTTCATTGCCATAAATTCAAGGAATGGACAGTTGAGCAGTAAAACCAAGTCTCAAACCATAAATGGTGTCATCCAGTGTCATCTAGTGAGGTTAAGTTAGTAGACATATGGGAGGAATAAAGCTTTAGGAAGTTGTGTTAACTTTGATCTATTATGTAGGCATTTTATTCCCTGGTACTTGACTATTCTGTCTACTACTATATATAGGCAAAGGTGTTTTCACTTCTAGGCTTTCTAGTTTTTTAGATTAAGAAAAATTTATTAGAAATTAAATATTAAAACAAAAAATAAATGGTTTGATTTTTTTGCCATATTCTAAAGTGGGCTCCTGCCCTAGGAGAGTTGCTCTGAAGCAATAGTTTTCACACGGTGTACCACTCAGGCTCAGGCTGTTTGGATGGGCCTCGGATAGGAGTTAGTAGGGGAAAGGGGCTTGAGAGGAGTGGAAGGGGCAGGGCTTCAGGGCTCCAACCTGTGCCTCAGTCAGAGAAGATAGAGCTGTTGTTCCCTCCCTTCTTTCCTTCCTTCTTCCCTCCCTTCCTTCCTTTTTCTTTTTTTTTAATGGGGGCTGATTTGTTTGTGCAACAGGGTCTTGCTCTGTCGCCCAGGCTGGAAGGTAGAGGTGTGATTACAGCTGACTGCAGCCTCAAATTTCTGGGCTCAAGTGATCTTCCAGCCTCAGTCTCCCTCCAGAGTAGCTGGAACTACAGACACATGCCACAGCCCCCAGCTATTTTTGTGTGTGTGTGAAAATGGGGTCTTGCCATGTTGCTCAGGCTGGTCTCAAACTCAGAGGCTCAAGTGATCTTCTCACCTTGGCCTCCCAAAGTGCTGGGATTACAGGCAGGAGCCACCATGCCTGGCCTTTTCTTCCCCTTTTTCCCTCCTGTTTTAGTGCAGCCTGCTTTATCAAACTGTCATAGACTGGATGGCTTATAAACCACAAAAATTTGTTTCTCACGGTTCTAGGGGCTGGAAGTCTGAGATTAGGGTGCCATTATAATCAGATTCTGGTGAGGACCCTCTTCCAGGTAGCTGACTGCTGACTTCTCATTGACAGCAGAGGAAAGAGAGAAAGCTTCCCCATGACATTTATAAAGCACTAACCACATTCACAAGGCTCCACCCTCATGACCTCATCTAACTGCAATCACCTCCCAAAGGGCTGACATAATATAATACCATCACATTGGGGAGTAGGGTTTCAACGTACGAATTTTGTGGGGACACAGACATACAAACATTCAACCCATTGTACTTTCCTTCCTTCTTCCTTCCCTCACTTCCTTCTTTCCCTCCCTCCTTCCTACTTTCCTTCCTTCCTTTGCTCCATTTTTCTAAATTTCTGACTAAGACAGCCTAAACCAACAAAGATCAAAAGAGACAAACAAGGCCATTACATAATGGTAAAGGGATCAATTCAACAAGAAGAGCTAACTATCCTAAATATATATGCACCCAATACAGGGGCACCCACATTCATAAAGCAAGTCCTTAGAGACCTGCAAAGAGACTTAGACTCCCAGACAATAATAATGGGAGACTTTAACACCCCACTGTCAACATTAGACAGATCAACGAGACAGAAAGTTAACAAGGATATCCAGGAATTGAACTCAGCTCTGCACCAAGCGGGCCTAATAGACATCTACAGAACTTTCCACCCCAAATCAACAGAATATACATTTTTCTCAGCACCACATTGCCCTTATTCCAAAATTGACCACGTAGTTGGAAGTAAAGCACTCCTCAGCAAATGTAAAAGAACAGAAATTATAACAAACTGTCTCTGAGACCACAGTGCAATCAAACTAGAACATAGGATTAAGAAACTCACTCAAAACCACACAGCTACCTGGAAACTAAACAACCTGCTCCTGAATGACTACTGGGTACATAACAAAATGAAGGCAGAAATAAAGATGTTCTTTAAAACCAATGAGAACAAAGACACAACATACCAGAATCTCTGGGACACATTTAAAGCAGTGTGTACAGGGAAATTTATAGCACTAAATGCCCTCAAGAGAAAGGAAGAAAGATCTAAAATCGACACCCTAACATCACAATTAAAAGAACTAGAGAAGCAACAGCAAACACATTCAAAAGCTAGCAGAAGGCAAGAAATAACTAAGATCAGAGCAGAACTAAAGGAGATAGAGACACAAAAAAACCCTTCAAAAAATCAATGAATCCAGGAGCTGGTTTTTTGAAAAGATCAACAAAATTGATAAACCGCTAGCAAGACTAATAAAGAAGAAAAGAGAGAAGAATCAAATAGATGCAATGAAACATGATTAAGGGGTATCACCACCGATCCCACAGAAATACAAACTACCATCAGAGAATACTATAAACACCTCTATGCAAATAAACTAGAAAATCTAGAAGAAATGGATAAATTCCTCCACACGTACACCCTCCCAAGACTAAACCAGGAAGAAGTTGAATCCCTGAATAGACCAATAACAGGCTCTGAAATTGAGGCAATAATTAATAGCCTACCAACCAAAAAAGTCCAGGACCAGACAGATTCACAGCCGAATTCTACCAGAGGTACAAGGAGGAGCTGGTACCATTCCTCCTAAAACTATTTCAATCAATAGAAAAAGAGGGAATCATCTGTAACTCATTTTATGAGGCCAGCATCATCCTGATGCCAAAGCCGGGCAGAGACACAACAAAAAAAGAGAATTTTAGACCAATATCCCTGATGAACATCAATGCAAAAATCCTCAATAAAATACTGGCAAACCGAATCCAACAGCACACCAAAAAGCTTATCTACCATGATCAAGTGGGCTTCATCCCTGGGATGCAAGGCTAGTTTAACATGCACAAATCAATAAATGTAATCCAGCATATAAACAGAACCAAAGACAAAAACCACATGTTTATCTCAGTAGATGCAGAAAAGGCCTTTGACAAAATTCAACACCCCTTCATGCTAAAAACTCTCAATAAATTCGGTATTGATGAGATGTATCTCAAAATAATAAGAGCTATTTATGACAAACCCACAGCCAATATCATACTGAATGGGCAAAAACTGGAAGCATTCCCTTTGAAAACTGGCACAAGACAGGGATGCCCTCTCTCACCACTCCTATTCAACATAGTGTTGGAAGTTCTGGCCAGGGCAATCGGGCAGGAGAAGGAAATAAAGGGTATTCAATCAGGAAAAGAGGAAGTCAAATTGTCCCTGTTTGCAGATGACATGATTGTATATTTAGAAAACCCCATCGTCTCAGCCCCAAATCTCCCTAAGCTGATAAGCAACTTCAGCAAAGTCTCAGGATATAAAATCGATGTGCAAATATCACAAGCATTCTTATACACCAATAACAGACTAACAGAGAGCCAAATCATGAGTGAACTCCCATTCACAATTGCTACAAACTGAATAAAATACTAGGAATCCAACTTACAAGGGAGGTGAAAGACCTCTTCAAGGAGAACTACAAACCACTGCTCAACGAACTAAAAGAGGATACAAACAAATGGAAGAACATTCCATGCTCATGGATAGGAAGAATCAATCTCGTGAAAATGGCCATACTGCCCAAGGTAATTTATAGATTCAATGCCATCCCCATCAAGCTACCAATGACTTTCTGCACAGAATTGGAAAAAACTACTTTAAAGTTCATATGGAACCAAAAAAGAGCCCGCATTGCCAAGACAATCCTAAGCCAAAAGAACAAAGCTGGAGGCATCACACTACCTGACTTCAAACTATACTACAAGACTACAGTAACCAAAACAGCATGGTACTAATACCAAAACAGAGATATAGACCAATGGAACAGAACAGAGCCCTCGGAAATAATACCACACATCTACAACCATCTGATCTTTGACAAACCTGACAAAAACAAGAAATGGGGAAAGGATTCCCTATTTAATAAATGGTGCTGGGAAAACTGACTAGTCATATGTAGAAAGCTGAAACTGGATCCCTTCCTTACACCTTATACAAAAATTAATTCGAGATGGATTAAAGACTTAAATGTTTGACCTAAAACCATAAAAACCCTAGAAGAAAACCTAGGCAATACCATTCAGGACATAGGCATGGACAAGGACTTCATGTCTAAAACACCAAAAGCAATGGCAACAAAAGACAAAATTGACAAATGGGATCTAATTAAACTAAAGAGCTTCTGCACAGCAAGAGAAACTACCATCAGAGTGAACAGGCAACCTACAGAATGGGAGAAAATTTTTGCCATCTATCCATCTGACAAAGGGCTAATATCCAGAATCTACAAAGAACGCAAACAAATTTACAAGAAAAAAACAACCCCATCAAAAAGTGGGCGAAGGATATGAACAGACACTTCTCAAAAGAAGACATTTATGCAACCAACAAACACATGAAAAAATGCTCTTCATCACTGGCCATCAGAGAAATGCAAATCAAAACCACAATGAGATACCATCTCACACCAGTTAGAATGGCGATCATTAAAAAGTCAGGAAACAACAGGTGCTGGAGAGGATGTGGAGAAATAGGAACACTTTTACACTGTTGGTGGGACTGTAAACGAGTTCAACCATTGTGGAAGACAGTGTGGCAATTCCTCAAGGATCTAGAAACAGAAATACCATTTGACCCAGCCATCCCATTACTGGGTATATACCCAAAGGATTATAAATCGTGCCACTATAAAGACACATGCACACGTATGTTTATTGTAAATGTAAATGACAAGTTAATGGGTACAGCACACCAACATGGCACATGTTTATATGTAACAAACCTGTATGTTGTGCACATGTACCCTAGAACTTAAAGCATAATAAAAAAGAAGTTTCATTAAAAAAATAAAATCTAAATACAGTTCAGAGACTATATTTAGGGAGATTATATATTAAGTATTTTTAAATCATTTTAATTGAAATAGAATTCACAAACAATAAGACACATTATTTTAAATGTCCAGTCCAATGAGCTTTGACAAATATATACAATTGTGTAACCACCATCTCAGTCAAGATGTAGAACATTTTCAATCCCCAAAAGTTTCCTCATGACCAACGCTCCTTCCGGAGCCCAAGCCCCAGGCAACCACAGCTCTGCTTTCTGTCACGATAATCTGGCCTTTGCTAGAATGCCATAAAAAGTGGAAGACAGTGTGGAGATTCCTCAAGGATCTAGAACCAGAAATACCATTTGACCCAGCAATCCCATTACTCGGTATATACCCAAAGGATTATAAATCATTCTACTATAAAGACACATGTGCATGTATGTTTATTGCAGCGCTATTTACAATAGCAAAGACTTGGAACCAACCCAAATGCCCATCAGTGATAGACTGGATAAAGAAAATGTGGCACATATACACCATGGAATATTATGCAGCCATAAATAAGAATGAATTCATGTCCTTTGCAGAGACACGGACAAAGCTGGAAACCATCATTCTCAGCAAGGTAACACAGTAACAGAAAACCAAACACCAAATGTTCTCACTCATACGTGAGAGTTGAACACATGGACACAGGGAGGGGAACATCACACACCGGGCCTGTCAGTGGGTTGGGGGCAAGGGGAGGGAGAACATTAGGACAAATACCTAATGCACGTGGGGCTTAAAACCTAGATGACGGGGTGATAGATGCAGCAAACCACCATGGCACATGTATACCTGTGTAACAAACCTGCACCTTCTGCACATGTATCCCATAAATTAAAGTAAAATTTAAAATGTATATAATATATAAATAAAAACCTAACAGTTTAGTCATGTAAAAAAAAAGAGAGAAAATATCAAAAAAAATGGGAGCAAACAATCTTCTCTTTGCTGGTGTGTTTGGTGTCTTTCACTTAACATAACATGCTTTTGAGATTCATTCATGTAGTTGGGTGTATTCATCATTTACTGTGATTGCTGAATAGTGTTCCACTGCATGGGCATACCACAATGGACTTACTAATCCCTTTTTCTGTGAACGGGTAGTTAGGTTCTTTCCCATTTTTTAATCTATTATGAATAAAGATGCTCTGAATACTCTCATGCATACCTTTGTGTGAATATATGTTTTCATTTCTTTTGGGTAAGTAGCTAGGAGTAGAATTGCTAGGTCAAATGGTGGGTACATATTTACTTTTAAAGAAACTCTCTGTGTCCCAAAGTAGCTGTTTATATATCTCATTGTGGTTTTAATTTGCATTTTCTTCTTGATTAATGGTGCTGAGCATCTCTTCATGTGCCTTTTTTTTTTTTTCTGGAAAGTCTCTATTGAGATATTGTGCCCATTTTAATTGGATTATTCAAATTATTATTATTGACCTATAAGGGTTGTCAGGTATATGCATTGAGAATATTTTCACCCTTCTGGAGCCTGTCTTTTCATTTTCTTAACAATGTTTTTTGAAGAGGAAGAGTTTTTAAATTTACGAAGTTCAATACATCTTTTTTTTTGTTTTTTGTTTTTTTTGAGACGGAGTCTCGCTCTGTCGCCCAGGCTGGAGTGCAGTGGCACCATCTCAGCTCACTGCAACCTCCGCCTCCCGGGTTCACGTCATTCTCCTGCCTCAGCCTCCCAAGTAGCTGTGACTACAGGCACCCACCACCACGCCTGGCTAATTTTTTGTATTTTTAGTAGAGACAGGGTTTCACCGTGTTAGCCAGGATGGTCTCAATCTCCTGACCTCGTGATCCGCCCGCCTCGGCCTCCCAAAGTGCTGGGATTACAGGCGTGAGCCACTGCACCTGGCCTGTTTTTTTTTTTTTCTTTTATGGTACAGAATTTTTGTGACCTCTCTTGGAAAACTTTACCTAACCTAAAGTAACAAAGATTTCATGTTTTCCCTTGTTTCCTGATAGATGTTTTATAGTGTTAGCTTAAACAAGTAGGTCTGCAATCTGTTTAATTTTTCTATTTGGTATGATAAAAGGGTTGAGGTTCTCTCTCATATTTCCTGAAATATGTATAATCCATTTTTCCAGCACTGTTGTTTGAAATCCATTCCCAATTGAATTACTTTGAGAGCTTTGTCTGAAATCAATTGACTTTATACATGAGAGTCTTTTTCTTGGTCTTCTAATCTGATCCACTGGTCTGTATATCTGTTCTTAAAGAAGTGAAGACAGTTTTGAGCATCACCTGAGCACTGGGAGGGGCTGACTTTGGCTGTAGAAGAGTCAAGCTGATGCTTGAAAGCCACCATTGCCATTGCTGAGCCTCCCTCCACATTGTCCATGAGGAGGAGCTACTTTTTTTCCCTCCAGGAAAGAGCCTTTCATCAATGGAGGTTTTTGCATGGCAGATGCCCCCCGACAGGCCCTGAGACGTGACTGAGCCTCATCCAAACTGCCCTGCTGTTTGCTTCCCTTTCGATGGCCCAGGATACGTTGTCAGTCACCCCCCAAAAGAGCACAGTGTCCTGCAGGAGGTGCCATTTGGAAAGGACAGCCCCCTATTCACTCTCCTCTCCAGATTAAACAGCCCCAGTTTCTTCAATGATGCTTATAGGAGAGAAAAGTACAAAGTACTTCAAGTGAATTACTCATTTAATCCTGAGAACAATTCCAAGATTTAAGAAATGAAAAAACATATATATGCATATATTCATATGTGAAACTATGCATACATATGCATGTATATTTTACATGTATATGTGTTTTATTTCTCTAACCATTTTAGCAAATTGCCTCTAATATGTTTCTATTGATATATTCCTTTTTAGTGGGATATTAAAACTTTTATTATGTTTTTGTACCTTAATGTCTATCACAGTGTCTTAAATGTCATAATAATATAGTGTTGCTGTCAATGATGATAATGATGATGACGATGGTGGTGATGATGATGGTAATGATGACAGTGAAGAAGCCACAGTAGGCCCATCAATTCCTAAGGCATGTACTTCCCAGTTTTAACCCTTTTAACATGTACCACTAATGAACGTTGATTGCAGTCATCTCTGCAATTATGTCATAACTCTTTAGAACAATCCTAAACAGTAGACAGAGATACTGTGGAAAGACTTCTTGCCATCTATACACAAAGTAAAAGCTTGGCTAGAGACTTTCCACATTTGATTCTTCCCATTGCTGTCTGTCCACAGTGTCCACTGTTTTATTCCAAAGGGAAGATGAAGGTTTTGCCTTGAGGAGCAGATTAACTTCAATGGATCGTTAAATTATGCCTTTATTTGGTGGCTATGTTCTCCACCACCCTCAACCACCACCCCTACCTTTACACACACAGAGCTGTATTACAGACTTCCCATGGATGGAAGGATGGTGACCATATCTAGCACCCCCACCCACCTCCCAGCCACTTATTTTGAGATTGTGCACAGATCCTGCAGCAAAACACAACTCCATGTTAACTAGTTAGATAGATTCGGAAAAGCATTTTCCCCACACTCCTTTTTAACTTGCTGCTAACTGAGTACAGAGTGAGCCAGCATGCATTCTTACAAGCTCTTTATCACTTTACATTAAAATTTGCAGAACTCTGATCAATATTACTTCACAGGTTGAAAGGTAGTACACGCCACAATCTATCTAAATATGGGAAGCTATTGCTTTGGTCCAGCTAACTCCAGAGTAAATAAGTTTACCCACTGCAGATGACATTAAATAGTAAATACATGATTTGAGTGTGTTCTTTTCCAGGTTGTATGTGAATGTGTGTGTGTGTGTGTGTGTGTGTGTGTGTGTGTGTGTGGTTGGTTGTTTTGTTTCCAAGGTATATCCCAAGCAATTCCAACACCATATCTAATAAACCAAGCTAGGCTACAGTTTCAAGGTAAAATAAATATTATATTTAAGTCTTCCTATTTCCCACTTCTTGGTGTTTGGTTTTATGCAACCTCGTGGGGCAACAGTTTTCAGGTAGAATAGACTCTAGGCAAAAACTGTGAAGCAGGCTAAATGTCTATAAATTTCCTTCACAGCCCTGTTCTCGCCATCAAAGCTTCTGCATCTGGCTACCCTCTGTTGCTTTACAGTCATAGCCTGCTATTATAGTGCTCTATTGGGCTTATTTATTTAATATGGCCCCAGGCTGGAGAGAGAATCTTGACTTTCCTGCCCCTGGTGCTTCAAATCTTCTCCTAGGGACCTGCTACATTACCGGCTAATTAATTTGATAAAGCAAATGGAACAGAGGTAATCATGGCTGAGATGATCTAAATTAACCTTCTCAGGTAATTTTGTGCATTTTTGTAAGATACTTGTTGCTTTTAGAAGTGGGAATCGTGCACTTCCAAAATGTGACTCTGGATGGGGAAGAGTGAATTTTTTTCAGGGAAATCTCACATTCCTCAAATCACACCAAGTGGATGTTCTCATGGCAGTCGGGTAAAAGATATCTCAAAGGAGGTCAGCACCTTAATTTTATTCCAAGACCACAGACCAGAGTCTTGAATTAAGCTGTCCTTTTGACAAATGTACTTTGTTCATCACAAGAAGGAGGAATGATAGAGGTGGATGAAGAGGTGCAAATCTATCACCACTGAGAGAAAACAAAATTGAAGCACACACTCAGCTGTAAACAAGTTAGTGGCATGCACTTCATGTATAAGCATGCCTCTTCACTTAGTATTCGCAGGAAAGGAGGGAAAATGAGAAATATGTCAAAACTTTGGTTCTGGGAAACACGTCAAAATAAGCAATGTTGAAAATAAAAGTCTCATTGTGCTTGCTTTGCCTAGGCGATTTCCTAAAGAGCACCATTTGCACAGGGAATGTGTTACAGCACAATGCAGATGTTCAGACCCTGGGGCCTTCTTCAGGGCACTGGGAAGCAAACCAAAGGGCTCTGTTTGGAGAAAAAAGAACTTTCCTGTCAAGAAAATGAAGAAAAGCCACAGAATTAAGATGAAAAGGAAGATAATTAAGAAGTAACTTTTTTCGTTCCCCACAAATCTAGTTCAAGCCACTTACCTAAAACACTACTGGGACTGCCAAAATATTTATACTTTATGTTTTATTTTACCAGCTTAGAAAAACTTGTGCAATTTTCAGATATTTTGTCTCAGTTGTTCAGCAACAATCACCCTAATCTGACAGAGAAGCAGGTCCACCTGCATTTATATTCTCCCCTTAGACATGGGAAATAGGAATATTGACCCAGGTATAACACATTTGAGGCCTACAATGTGCAGGATGCTGGGCTTTATCTTGGGAATCAGAGGCTGTGAGTGGACGAGAAATATGAAGAAGACAGTTCTTACTTTGGGGGAGGGAGAACATAAACAAAGAGTTCTAACGCAATGAGGTGAGTGTCACGATAAAGATAAGTAGGATACGAATGGAAGTATGGAGAGGAACAGGGAGTCTCTGCAGGAAAGTGTGCAAGCTGGGTGATTCAGTGAGCAACGAGGCTTGAAGTGCAGTCTCCAGAGAACCATTATGTAATAGCCCAACCTCCTTTTATTCAACTTAAATCAATTTCATTTGGAACATTGAGAGGGAGGCTGAAGCAAATTGGCAAGATATAACCAGCACTTGCCTATTGGTTAACTGGGGAAGAGTTGACTACATTATTTTAGTTATACTGCCTATTTTTTAGAATAGGATAAACATAGATAAAGGAAGCAGAATAATTTCTAAGTCTCCTTTTTCAGGACTAGTGTTTCCAAATGGGTAGCCCTGGGATCATGCTGTTCTTGAACGTCTGACACACAGGTGAAATAAGTGAATGCTAGAATTAATGAATGGAAGTTACAAAAAAAAAAACAAAATTAAAAAAAAAAAACAGCAGGTCTTTATCCCAATATGAGAGAGAAATATTCACACACTGGGTTCTCTGGGCTGGAATGGATGGACTCTCCAGAAAGTGAGTATCCCTTTGTTAGCTATGCCCAAGCATGTGAAAGAAAATTTCCTCTGGTGGATGGGAGTTTGAACTTGATGGTCTTTAAGACCCGTCCAACTCTAAGTTCTATAAACAAGTCTCCCTTTTGAGTTTCTGACTTAGCCTGGGTTCCATAGAAAACAAAGCTTGAAACAAAATTGATTTACTAAGGCTTTATTGGAAGATATGTTTTCAGGGAAGCTAGAGCAAGGGAAAGAAGGATGTAATAAAAGAAGAAAAAGCAAATGCCAGCTGGTCACAACATTACAAGAAACTCGGCTGGGGCGTGAGCAGGTGGAATGTCTTCCAGACAGGCAGGGCAGAAATCCCCGGCCTCACAGAACACCGTCTGATGCAGAACAAAAGGAGGAATGATTTATCTGCTGAGTTTTTCCCATCTCCTGTTTCTTACTGGTCAAAGTTTGTTCAGAGGAACTTTGATCCTCCTGCACTTCTAGGTGGTGTTGCCTTGAGCTTCAAGGTAGTTGCTAAAAAAGCTAGATGCTGTACTTTGCAGTGTGGGTCTGGATGTGCATCTAGAAGGCGTTAAGGTAACCATACTCTGTCTGCTCAAGCAAGGTCATGAGAGACGGAGACCTCGCCCTTCCTGGCCCTCATCCCTATGGGAAGCTGAAAAAGTCTGAGGTGATAGGAGGCTGAGCCAGGTGGCAGCAACCAGGGCTCTCCCTGGAGCAAGCAGTAAAGCCCCAGGGCCAGTGAAGCTGAGCAAATGAGCTAGGTCCAAGAGAATATCCTGGCCTCCTATTTCCAACGTGAACTCTCTCCTGAGTTAGAGCCTTTTTTTTTTTTTTTTTTTTTTGTAAGCAGGGTCTCACCCTGCTGCCGAGCCTGGAGTGCAGTGGTGTGATCATCATTCATTGCAGCCTCAACCCCTCGGTCTCAGTTGATCCTCCCATCGTGGCCTCCTGAGTAGCTGGGACTACAGACATGTGCCACCATACCTGGCTAACTTTTTGTAGTTTTTGTAGAGATGGGGTTTTGCCATGTTGTCCAGGCTAGTCCCAAACTCCTGGGCTCAAGCAATCCACTTGCTTGGGTCTCCCAAAGTACTGGGATTACAGGTGTGAGCCACTGTACCTGACCCACGTTTGATTTTCTAATTCAACGTTAAAACTTAGCCAGTATGCTGTAGAGGTGGGAGCAGAAATGAGAAAAACAAAGAGTAAACTCACCAAAGAAAAAACTACTAAATAGAAAGATGGTTGTAAGACAGAAACAAACAAAAAAAAGATTCAAAGCAAAAGCAGTTTGGAAGGACAGCTTCATTGGAATGCTTTCTCATTGTTCTTGCCTTCTTTCAGGAGTGTCAAGTTGACATGATTCCATGGAAAATGCATTTTTCATGAACAGGGGTGGCTGTGACCTTTAGCTCCTGGAGTTGGAGGGCAGCCCCCTAAGGGAGGCTGACTGTGATTCCAGGATCACAGCGTGGAATCCGCATGCCCAGGGTGGGCAGGAACTTCAAGGGCCTTTGCAAGGACTGTCTGAGCTGCTCTTTGCAGAGTTATGGGTGGGCAGGAAGACTGGTTAACTGGCTAAGATCTTACTGCATCACAGTTTGTATGTTTCTGGGCTGCCTGTGCCTCACAGTTGGAAGATGCTTCTTCTTTCTGACAGATGCACAATTCACGTCTACAGTCTAAACAAAATGGGCTACAAGGAAGGAATCAAAATAACTTCAAGTATTTAGTACGGAGAAGGAAATCACAGGGTAAAAGGCTTTTGATGCAAGCATCTGGCCTCAATCGTCTCACCTCCCATTCCCCTCTGACCCCAATGTCATTTAGCTCTATCCTCACTACAGATGGACATATTCTGTCAAAGTCATCTAGAACCTCCAAATTGATGAATCTATTGCCCTATTCCTAGTACTCAGCCACTTCAACTCTCTGCTGCCCTTAGCATTTGCAATCATTCTCTTCTTCAAATGTAGTATCTCTTCTGTGGACATTACCTCTCTCTTCAGATTCTCCCCTTTCCCCTTGGAGCCCTTCAGTGATCTCTTCAGTTGGTTTCCCATCATCCAATAGCCTCTCAAGGGTTAGTTCTTCGGAGGGTGGCCATGCCCACTTTTCCTCATCCATGGTTATAGATTCAATGACCAATTACATGTTCATGGCTCCCAAATCTGCATTTCTATCCCTGCCCTCTCACCGGGGCTCTGGAATCTTATTTCAAACTATTTACTGGATATTATCTGCTAGATGCCCCATTAGATGTCTCAAGATGTATCAAGTTCAAGTCGGCCTGCATCTTGCCTCCCAGATGTGTTTTCTCTCATTCATTGTGTAGTTTGGTAGATGATATTGCCCATCCAACCACCCTCAAAACTTTGGGGTCATCCTAGACTTTTCTCTCTCCTTCACATACCCTCTGACCCAAGAGATAATGGAGTCACTTCTCCCTCTCCCTGTCCCTTAATCTTTGGTGCTCCCATCCAGGCCCTCATTATCTCTGAAATCTATTGTCCTTGCACCTTCTCCGTTTCTAAAGTCTGTCCAACTTCTACTACCTTGAGATCTTCTTCTGAAACACAAATCTGATCACCTTATTCCCTAGTGTCATGAGTCATGGTCTCTAGAAACAGAGTCTAAGACAGGATAGGGGTACTTGTGATTTTCTGAGGGGTGCTCTCAAGAAAAACCTGCAAGAGGAGGAGTGAAGAGGATAGAAAAGAGACAGGAATAGGGGTACTTCTGAATTTCTGAGGGGTCCTCTCAAGAAAAACTTGCAAGGGAAGGAGTGAAGAGGATAGAAAAGAGGAAAGTATGTGCTGTTGGGGGATGTCTAGCCTTGACCCGATCTGCTGAGGGAGGACTCTGAACCAAAACCACAACACAATGGTTTCCCATGAAGGTACAGGGGCTGGTCTTTTTATCCTCAGATAAATCCATCATGGGCTGTGCATTGCTCAAGATATCAGTGGGGAGAGGGGAGTAACTTCCCAGGCAAAGTGACTCCTATCAGCTGAGGACAATTATCCTAAGAAGAGAAGCATTTGTGAGCCTCTAGCAGCCAACATGTGTACCAGTTGGAGGAAGTGTGCTTTGGTAGTAAGTGGGAGCCAGGCATGGCCCCAAAGCAGCTACTGCACTATGCTTAAAGTTGCATTTTAGCTCTCCATTCAAGCAGAATAAATTAAAAACCACTAAGCATGGCCCTTCTCTGCGTGACCCTTGCCAGCCTTGTATCTTACCATTGTCTTTTTTACCTGACATCCTTACTGAATGTTCCCTATAGACTGGATCTCCTATGCATGTTTTCACCACCACTCTTTTGGTCCTGGTGTTCCCTCTGCATGGAATTCTCTTTCTTCCTGCTCACCTGAAAAACTCCAGCTCAAATGTCATACTTGTGAGGCCATGATTCAAATATCTAGGCAGAATTAATTACTCCTATGCCTGCCCTTGTCATTGCATTCTATATAAAGCTCCCTTATAACCACTCTTGAAATTGTAAATATTTTCTGGAGTGCTTGTTTCTTCACTAGATCATCTGAGGACACATATTCTATGTCTCCCAATCTTTGAACCCCAAGACCTAGCAAAGGTCTAGTGCTTTGTAAAGACTCCATAAATGTTAAATTAAATTGTGTATCTGTGGCCTTTATATAAGCAGCAATTGTCACATCTCTGAGGCAAAGAACAATTCATAAGGTCTTCAGCTATTACACAATTGCTGATTTGAATGCACTTTAGCTCATTGTTATGAATACCTTTGATTTTGCAATGTTTATTGCACTTCCTCTCCCCTTTATTCCATCCCTATTTCTTTTGTGGTTTTCACCTCACAGATATTGAATATAGACAAGGTTCAGGTTTTGTGGCAAGAATTGAGTGCTCCTTAGAATGTTATCTCTGTGAATCCAAAAGACAAATAAAAATTACTGATCAAACCAAAGCAGTGTCTTCTGAAAGTCATATCTATCAGAGGTGATATTGACGCTAACGGAAAAAGATGACAAAACCTCCCTTTGATTCTGCAATTTGGCATGCTCAAGGCATTCGAAAAGTAGCTCTTTTCTTTGTGGTAACTTTCATGTATCTTCTGCCACTTCTTTCCAGCTGATTCAGGCTTACATTATATACAATAAAATTCATCTTTTCAAAGTGTACAGCTTGTATACAGTCATGTAACCACCATCCCCTTCCATATCTAATGCCCTCAGTCACTCTTTGACCTACTTTGTCTAGTGTTTCACATAAATGCAATCATACAATATAATCTTTTGTGTTTGAATTATTCCACTTAGCACAATTTTTACATCATTATTATTATTATTAAAATGGAGTTTCGCTCTTGTTGCCCATGCTGGAGTGCAATGGTGTGATCTCGGCTCACTGCAACCTCCGCCTGTCAAGTTCAAGTGATTTTCCTGCCTCAGCCTCCCTAGTAGCTGGGATTACAGGCGTGTGCCACCACACCCAGCTAATTTTGTATTTTTAGTAGAGACGGGGTTCACCATGTTGGTCAGGCTGGTCTTGAACTCCTGATCTCAAGTGATCCACCCGCCTCAGCCTGCCAAAGCACTAGGATTACAGGCATGAGCCATTGCGCCTGGCCAGCAAAATTTTTTTAAATTTATTCATGTTACTGTGTTTAATATCTTGTTCCTTTGTTGCATGCATATTCCACAATTTATCATTCGCCAGTTGATAAACATGTGATTATTTTCATTTTTGGCTATTATGAATGATGATGAATATTCATGTACATGTCTTTTTGTGAACATGTATCTTCACTTCTCTCCAGATGATTGTGCTTGGTTATATTAGTGCATATTTAACTTTCATAAGATATTGCCAAATTGCTTTCTAAGGTGGTCGTACCATTTAATACACCAAAAGCAGTGTAGGAGAGTTTCAGTTGCTTCACATTCTCTCCAACACTTGGTATAGTCAGTTTTTTTTTGTTTGTTTGTTTGTTTGTTTGTTTGTTTTACTTTGGTCATTCTACCAAGTGTATAGTGGCAACTCTTTGTGGTTTTAACTTGCATTTCTTTGATGACTAATATTTTATGTGCTTAATGGCTACGTTTGTCAGGAGAAGCTGACAGCTCAGCATTCAGTCAGGCAAAGCTTCCTCTTATTCAGGTCTTCAGTGGGTCAGATGAGGCCCATGGACATTACGGGGGCAGTTTTACTCAGCTGCTGATTCAAATGTGAATCTCATACAGAAACACCTTCACTGACACACCCAAAATGGGGTTTGGCCAAATGTTTCGGCACCCTGTGGATTACTTAGTCACATTCACACATAAAATTAATCATCACAGCAACTACTCACATCTCCTCTTTTGTGAAGCATCTGTTCAAATATTTTATCCAGTTTTTGCTGGAGGTAGGGAGATTGTCTTCTACTTGAGTGATTTTTAAGATATATTTTGGATGAAAACCCTTTGTCAGATATCTATTTTACAAAAATTCTTAATTTTGAGGAAGTCTATGCTTTTTGTTTCATTTGGCGAATGATATTTTTGTGTGTTCCGTTTAAGAGAACTTTGCCTAATCCAATGTCACAAAGATTTTATCTTACGTTTCCTCCTAAAAATTTTGTCAAACACTAGCCCTTTGTTTTGTGGTCATTTTCATTTATCTATTTTCAATTTTTAAGTGTAGTGTCTTTCAGAAGTGCCTATTATATGATAAAAAACCATATGAGACACACATGAAGGAAATAATTGACCATTTGTTTTATGGTTATCATCGTTATAAAGTAATATGTAAATTAAGATCAGACTTTTGAAAAGATTCTAGAAAAAATATATACCAAAATGGAATAGTGTTCATCTCTCAGTGATAATATTATGAATATTTTCTTACTTTTGCTTACCTATAATTTTCTGATTGTTTTCAAAAGAGTAGGTCTATAATTTGTATATTTTTAAATACCCTTAATATGCATAAGTAGTAATAAATAGTAACTTATTTATTTAAAGAATTAAGCTTATTTCTTGTTATGTCTTATTTGGTACATTTAAGAAAAGCAAAAAATTGTTTATGAAGCTGGAGCTTTCACCTGAGTACACCCATTTCTTTGATATGTGTAGTTACTACATAGTGTTTTTATTTGTATTTTATTCAAATATCTAGGAGGTCTTTTCATTGACTTTGAATGAAAAGCTCCAAGATTTTATTCTAGTCATTATATCAGATAGGAGTGAAATAAGAAGATTCTGTTACCCTTGACGTCCTCATCAAATTACCCTTACCCCTTTGCTTGGGTTCACCTTCCTTGAGACTAGGAAAAGTCGATGAGAATAATTAAGATTGTAGGTGGCTACAATTGCAAGAATTCAAGCCATTTAATAAAAAGCACCATACCAGGGAAGTGAGCTGGCCTCTCCAGAGATGTAGAGCTCACTAAGATAGTTGAGGCAATGTGATTCCTTGGACACTGGTATTTGCTTTACAATCACACCTGCAGGAATAACAACACAATTCTAGTACCAGAGAATGTCTTGATCTAGCAGTTCAGTGCAATGCCTTTTATTTACAACTGAAGACAAACCCTACATGATCTCATCCTTTTCTACTGCATACATTTGTTCCAAACCTTCCAATGTCCATCTGGTTAGAACACAGCCCCTAAGTATTATTTTCTTCATTTACAGGTGGATTTTCTCTTTATAATATTAACATAAGCAGCAGGCCCAAAGCCTGACAACCAACCTTGGCTCTTCCCAAACACAACTTACATTGCTGACGATGGTCCATTTTCAAATCATTCATTCAGTGGCAATGAATATCACTTATTATGAAGGTATCTCAAATTACCCAAAACACACATTAAAGTTTACAGCAGGAATTCATCAAATCAAACAAATTACTCTCTTTCTGTTCTGTCCTACTTCTTTAAGTGTTTGTAAGCAGAGCTCATTAAAACTTCTTGAAGTTGTTTATCATCTGCCTTTCCCTTTACTTTGGGAAGTAATGTTTTGGTTTCGTAGATTTAAACTATTTTTTTAAGTACACACAGCCTTCCTTGAGCAAATTCAGCTATGTAGGTGTCCTTGTCCTCATGGACAGACTCTGCAGCTACCGTGTGGCTACGCTGACCAATGAATGGCCACCCATTGACATCACCCTGCCCCCTGCACTCCTGAGCCCCTTATCAGCCCTGCTTCTATTTTCTCCAGAGAATTTTTACCCTTTAAGCACACTCTACAGTTTATTTATTGTAACCATTGCTACTGTCTCCCCTACAATGTAAGTTCCAGAAGGGCAGGCATCTTGCCTTGTTCATTGGCATAGGCCAAGCGCCTGGAGAAGTGCCTGGCACATATCAGGCCCCCAATATATTTTTTTATTTTTGTATTTTATTATTTTTTTATTTTGAGACAGAATCTCACCCTGTTTTCCAGGCTCAAGTGCAGCAGCACAATCTTGGCTCCCTGCAACCTCTGTCCCCCAGGTTCAAGCAATTCTCATGCCTCAGCCTCCTGAGTAGCTGGGATTACAGGCATGTGCCACCACACCTGGCTAATTTTTGTATTTTTAGTAGAGATGGGGTTTTGCCATGCTGGTCTCGAACTCCTGACCTCAAGTGGTGTCCCCACCTTAGCCTCCAAAAGTGCTGGGATTACATGGGGAGCCACCACACCCAGTGGATATATATTTTTTAAATAAACAAATGAGTGACTCAAAGACCCTCAGAAAGTCTCCTTTGCCCTCCACAGTGTCTCTGCCAGGTAATACTGGTATAGTGTCTGAAATTCTACTTTTAGAGATTTCTACTTTGAGGTTTCTTCATGAGTACCTTTAGGTTATGAGGCATGTACATACTTCTGTAAGGAGCACCATTCATCTATCCATTCAATGGCTATTTTCTGGATTATCCACTATGCATAATGCACTGCCCTAGGTATTCTGGGGACACAGAACTGAGTCAGATTCATTCAGCCTCCAAGGCAGGCTCACATTTACTATTGATGTGACATCATGCCCTCAAGAGAGATACACAAAGCGCTTAGTGGAAGCCCACAACTGATGGCTGTGGTTATTTCTATCCCTGGGGGCTAGGATCCTTGGCTGCCTGGTGCCTCTGACCCTGACAGTGCACTTCTAACAACAGAGAGTGACAAATGAGGCCTTTCATCCACTTCTTCATTCACCTCTTTATTAATTTAACATATATTAAGTTTCTTCTCTGTGCCAGGCATTTGCTAAATCCTGGGCATATGGCAATGAATGAGCAAAACAGAGTCCTTGCCTTCATGGAGGTCACAGTTAGTTGAGAAGTTAGATATGAAGCGAGAAATTGTTTAAATGTGACAAGAGTTCTCACAGGGGATACATAGGGAGCTATGGAAGCACACAGAAAGGGCTGCTACTGCAATCTAGCCTGGAGGCAGGGGCTGGTCCTCCTTGGGAATCCCCGGGGAACTGTGAAGGTTTGTATCTGAATCCCAGATTTTACTGGGACGATGCACAGACAGATGCGTGAACGTATGTTCATTGGTTTTTTTGTGTTGTTGTCTTAGGTTGGTTTTCATGGTCGTAGCTGAGGTGTTTGTTATTGTTATGTTTTGTGTTGTTGCATCTGACTGTATGATGATGGCTGTGAGAACTTAGGGGTGTTCTTCGATGTGGTGGGATGGCCAAGGTGAGGTCTGCGGTTCACCACACTCGCTCTTTAAAGTCAATGGTTCTCAACCTTGGCTGTACGTTGGAGTCACTTGGGAGATATAAAAAATACCAGTGCCTGGGCACTACCCCAGAGATTTGGGCCTCCAAGTCCATGGTAAACAACCTCCCCCACATCCTGGTCTTTCATGTGGCATTTTTCTTCCACTGCTAGGGCCCAGAGTAAACCTTTTCTCTCTGAGCTTACTGTTCTCCCTCTTAAGACATTGCTGCTTATTCTCCCATGCCTCCAATATCTCAGGGCCCATGGGGTGAAAATCTCAGATTTAAGGCTTTTTCCTTCTTGATGTATCACCCTTCTTCATTGCTGGCATCTCTCAGCTTCTTGGCAAATGTTCCAAATGTATAGGCTTTCACCCTAAGTCTTCATTCACTCCTTCATTTATTCCAACGATATTAACCAACATTGATTGGGTGCTTATATTGTGCCCAGTACTCTTGTAGGTGCTTGGTACACACCAGTGGAAAACACTGGCAGTATTACCTATCCGGGAAACTACCTAATATTCTAGGGAGGGGAGGACAAAATGTCCCCTCACTGGACACAATGCAAAGTGCAGGGGACAGATCTAAAGAGACAGCAAGTGGAAGAGAGATTAAATGAACCATATGGAGTTCCAAAGGGCAGGCACAAACAAATTGGTGCAAGTTACAAAGAGAGATTTCGGCTCAATCATTCTTATTGTGGATAAAATAGTTGTCATGACTAATGAGGGCCTACTGCTAGCTCTCTGTCAGGCACTGTGCTGAGGGCCCAACAAACATCGCACTATTTACTGCTTAGAAGAACCCTCTGAACTAGGAACCCCTCGTGAACCTCCTTTCTCTCCCACACAGACAGACGATGCCTAGAGAGTTATCTGAGACTCAGAGAGAGATTCACTGCCTTGGCTGGGCGCCGTGGCTCACGCCTGTAGTCCCAGCACTTTGGGAGGCCGAGGCAGGCGGATCACAAGGTCAGAAGATTGGGACCATCCTGGCTAACACGGTGAAACCCCATCTCTACTAAAAATACAAAAAATCAGCTGGACGTGGTGGCGGGCGCCTGTAGTCCCAGCTACTCGGGAGGCTGAGGCAGGAGAATGGCGTGAACCTGGGAGGTGGAGCTTGCAGTGAGCCGAGATCGCGCCACTGCACGTCAGCCTGGGAGACAGAGCGAGACTTCATCTCAAAAAAAAAAAAAAAAGATTCACTGCCTTGTATAAGTGACTGAAAGTGACACTAACAGCCATTATCATCATTTTTCTGTTGGGTGATGTCACTTCCTGGACAATGTGTATTTGTAGAGTCATCAAACTTTTCAAACTACTTTGCATTTCTGTGAGCTCACTAGCAATCGTCTAGATATCAGCTAATTATGAACTTTAGTGAGCCCTTAGGCTCACGTAGAACTTGGAATTTACCAAAAGATATCCAATTGCATTACGCCTTCAGAGAAAAGGATGTGCTGTCATCCACCTCAGACAGATTAGACTGCAAGAAGAGTATTTATATCTGTGTATTCCACTGCAAAATTTACATAATAATGTAAAACTACTTTTCAGAAATTACATTATGAAAGATTAGATAAGCCAAGAAATACCATGATCAGGAAAGGTAACAAGTGGTTTCTGATTTGTCAACCTTAAGGCATGATGTAGATTGATGGCATTATAATTGCATGTTGCAAAATGCAGGTAAAATGCAGAAGACCTTTGAACTAAGCATGGACCATCAAGAAAGGGAAGCTTCCCCATATCACCATCACCAGGACAAACTGTGGGGGAAGGAGAGGCAGAAGCTGCTTCAGAAAGGTTCCCAACCACCAGTTTTAGGACGTTGACTCTTCTGTGTTGAGCAATGAGATGTTCTGACAGTTACTACTATGGAAACAGCCAGAAATAACTAAGCAGACGTGTGTGTGTGTTTATTACGACACACATTCCAAATAAACTCTATCGATCACGTCAAATGTAGAATGTGTGTTTAAAGGATTTGTGATGTAAATAAACAAATTTTTATTCTCCTGATCACATCCATTCTAAAATGCTCTTGCAAAAGCTTCTTGGAGAAAAGTTAGGGATTCAATAACTATTGGTAAAGAGTTTTACGTTATTTTATTAATGTGACATTTATATTGCATTGCATATTTTTAAAGTTCATGGCTATTGTTATTGGACATTGGCAGTCCTTTGTAAAAGACCTTAGAGAACAGGACATTTCCCCCTGAGAGCCCAGCAAGGTCACCGCCAAGGCTGGCTGGTCCTGTGTGAAATAGGAAATGCCTTCCTGTTCACAACAGTGGGTCTAGGCCACACGTGGAGCCTCATGTGTACTCTTCCTTCAGAAGCATCCGATACTTTACCTACACTGCAAGAATAATGCAAAGACCTTATTGTCTCCGTTGTAAACTGAGCAAAATAATGATTTCAATAAAATAATGATTTCAATAAAATAATTAAAGTGTTTCCTATTGATTTTGAAGTAGAACAGTAAGCATTCCTTATAGGGCAGAGATGATTTTTATTATGGTTAGCTATGATTTTCGCTACTCTTAATTATAAATTGGCAAGTGAGTGGACACAATTTGAAAGTTTCCACATGACTATTTACTGATATTTGTCTATAGATTTCTTTATGGATTTAAAACTTATCGCATTTTCCAAGGAGAAAAATAATAGATGCAGAAAGAAAGAGTGAGTTACATTTCTAAAGTAACACAGTAGCTAAGTGTGAAGTCAGACTGGGGTGAAATTGGACTCTGTGGGAAGACTCGATCTGCTTTTCCTAAGTGATCACGGGCCTGAGTTGCCCAGGAGCACTGGGAATAGCATTTGTTTCATTGCTTTCCATCCGCCGTGCTTCCCTCTCAATGCCTTCTTCCCCCAGACTCATGCCTTGATCCCCCAGACTTCGACATTTACATTAAGTCAGCCTAGCCCAACAAAACAGCTAGAAACCAAAACTTGCCTGGTGGAGTGAGGCCTGGAAATCATTTGGCACACTGCTTACAGTCACTAGGGGATTCAGATTTAGATATTGGCCTTTTAAAAAAAATAAAATCTATAGTCATCTTGCAAACATCACACACATTGTATTTACTTCTGTCAAAACGTTCATTTGTTAAACATAAACATTTAAAATATATCATTATTTGGTCTTTTCCTCATTTTTGTAATTTATTGAGAGCCTCAAAAAATGGAAGTAGTCCAGGCCTCCCGGAGTATCTGAGAGTCTCTGCTGATGCCCAGTATAAAGGAGTCTCAGGCCCAGCCTCTGTGCACCAAAAGCATCCCCACCCTCTGTGCTTTTCATCTGCCCTGGTTCTTGGCTCCTTACTATGCTCTTCTATCATCTTGGTTCTGGATCTTCATTTGATCTCCTACTTCCATGCTCACCTTCTGCCCACAGACTGGACAAAGGGTCAGGCTTTCTGCTTTGGCCTCTCAGGGCCCCTTAAGTCACAGACTGAACTTATGTTTAGATCTTTTGCCCCTCCCACCCACATAGTCCCCATACCCCAGAAGTCTCTGCAGGGATTTTCCAGGCTTCTCCTCTGCCTACATCAGACATAGCTGGACACTCTTATTTCCAACTTAGTAACCAAATTTGCCCGTTGCTATGGCAACAAAGACGCATGGTTATTGCAGCAATCACTTCACCTGAGAAACACGGTGGGGCCTCAGACCACCCTCCACACCAAGGCTCCACCTGCCATCATCTCCATGAACCCATCTGGAGCATTTTTGCTCCTGCCCATAGGAAATTCGAGAAAACAACAACAACAATATAGTTACTGAACTCTGTGGTGTAGTTTTGAGCCAGCTTGGTATCTTAGCTCTTGAAATGTGGTGAGTAGCTAGAAAGATGTTATGTTCTACTAAAGAGATACATTCATTCTCTATTGATGTGTAACAAATTACTGTTACTGAGCAAAAGGCGCTTCCTGGGCTACGCATTAGGAGTCACAGTATTGCCTATGACACTGGGTTTTGCAGAAAAAAAAGGTTTTTATTGCAAGTTCACTAACAGAGAGACAGGACTCCTGCCCAAACCCTCAAACCCGTCTTCCTGTGTGCCTTTAAGGCAGAAACTTGATTAGAAAAGGTTTAGGGGTGGATTCTGGGATTAGTAGGTGATTTGTGGAAGGAAAGGAGAAGTCTGGGAAGTCCTCAGGCATGTGCAGTTATCTCTCCATGCTACCTCATGGGGCCCATGTGCAAATTTGGGGGGAGTTAGCATGAAACATGCTGTGGGAATTTGGGCTGTGACAGCAGCAAGCTCCTTCTCTGCAAACTCTGCTTGGCCATATTGGTTCCAATGATTGCAGGCAGTTTTGTTATCTCACAAGCAGAGGGAATTTCCACTTTTCAGCAAGTTGTTTCTTTTCTTATCTGCCATCCTGCAGACTTATGCTCCTTGGTACTCACCCAAGGGAGTTGAAAACTTATGTCTATATTGTAGTTGTATTCA
Source organism: Homo sapiens (assembly GCF_000001405.40). Taxonomy (NCBI): domain Eukaryota; kingdom Metazoa; phylum Chordata; class Mammalia; order Primates; family Hominidae; genus Homo; species Homo sapiens. The sequence continues at coordinate 242,637,556 of NC_000001.11, forward strand.
CAATTATCACAACTTGGAAGCCACCAAGATATTATAGGTGAATGAATAAATAAACAGTGATACTTTCAGACAATGGACTACTATTCAGCACTCAAAAGAAATGAACAAACAAGCCATGAAAAATCATGGAGGAAATTTAAGTGCATGTTAGTAAGTGAAACAAAGCAATTTGTAAAGGCTACATACTCTATGACGCCAGCTACAGGCATATCTTGTTTTGTGTGCTGTGCTTTACTGCACTTCACAAGTTGTTTTACAAATGGGAGGTTTCTGGCAACCCTGCATCAAGCAAGTCTATTGGCTCCATTTTTCCAACAGTATGTGCGCACTTCATGTCTTGGTGTGACATTACGGTAATTCTTGCGATGTATCAAAATTTTTCTATGATTGTATCTGTTATGATGATCTATGATCCGTGATCTTTGATGTTGCTATTGTCATTGTTTTGGGGCACCACAAGCCGCACCCGATAAGATGGTGAATTTAAGGCCGGGCGCAGTGGCTCATGCCTGTAATCCCAGCACTTTGGGAGGCCGAGGCGGGTGGATCACGAGGTCGGGAGTTCGAGATCAGCCTGACTAACATGATGAAACCCCGTCTCTACTAAAAATACAAAAATTAGCCAGGTGTGGTGACACACGCCTGTAATCCCAGCTACTCAGGAGGCTGAGGCAGGAGAATCGCTTGAACCAGGGAGGTGGAGGTTGCAGTGAGCCGAGATCACGCTACTGCACTCCAGCCTGGGTGAAAGAGTGAGACTCCATCTCAAAAAAAATAATAAAAAATAAAAATTTAAAAAGATGGTGAATTTAGCCCAGAAAAGTAAAAGAATTTATGGTAGTAATTGGTGTCTTTAACTCTTTGGGATGTGGTTTCACTACCTCAACATTCAGAGTCTTAAAACAACAAGAATGTTATCTCGCTGTTTCTGTGGATAGGGAATTTGGGATTGTCTTAGCTGGGTGGTTCTGGCTCAGGGTTTCCCATGATGTTGCAGTCAGGATGTCAGCTGGGGCTGCAGTCATCTGAAAACTGAACTGGAATTGGGATCTGCTTCCAGGATGGCTCGCCCCTATGGCTGGCAAGTTAGTCAGTTGGTGCTGGCTGCTGGTGGGAGGCCTTGGATCTTCACCATGTGAACCTCTCCAGGGGACGCTAAAGTATTCTCACAACACACTGGCTGGCTTCCCCAGGTGAGCGATCCCAAAGAGAACAAGGCGGACAGTGCAATGCCCCAGAAGTCACACTGTCATGACTGCAGCATGTTACTGCTGACGCAGGTCAGCCTAGTCACTGTGGGAGGAGACTACGCAGCAGAGTGGACGTGGGGGTATCACTGCGGATCATGCTGGAGTCTTGTTACCACGAAGGGAGTGGTATAGAGAAAGGTTGCAGCCCAGAGACGCATTTTAAGGTTTTCCAAATGAAACACAGGATATGAAGTTTGGTAACCTGTGACTATACCGTGGCAAAAAGTCCAGCACTCCCCCACACTCACAGCCTCTGAGAATGCTCTAAGCCATAGTTTTCCAACTGTGTTGGGCAAACTGGCAGCCCATGAATGAGTTAAAGGTGCTCTGAGATATTGCTCTCCTCAGCCCTTAGAGCACTTGAGCAGGGCCTGAGGTAGATGGGACAAGTGAGTAGATATTATAATTTTTTTATGTGTCCTGTGACCGTACGCAAGCTATATATGTGTACTCGATATAAAATATCTACTCTTGATTGTTAGGAAAGTTCCCTAGCCAGGGTGCTGAAAAGAGTGTTAGAACTCAGCTGTGTGGAAAGTCTCTAAGCACAAAGAAGTTGATATGTGCAATGTTTAGCACATATCTGTGAAGTCAGTATATTAATAATGCTGTTCAAATCTTTTATAACTTAGCGGTCTTTTGTCTTCCTATGTTATATGGTACCTGCGGATGTGCACTTTAATCACCTGCTATAATTGTAGACTTATCACTTCTTATTTTAGTTGTCAATTTTTAAATTATATTTTGAGGCTATGTTACTTGGTGCTTATAAATTAAAAATGATTGCATCTTAATGGTAAATGGAAATTTTACCCCTATGAAATGGACCTCTTCATCAGGAGGAATGTTCTTTGACTTTAAGTTTGGCATCACTAACTCTTTTTTAGTGTTTATGTTGTTCATGCTTTTCTCTATTTTTACATTCAGCCTTCCTGAATATATCTGTATAAAACTGCCTCGTAAACAGCATATTGCTATATTTTATCATGCTATGCTTTGTTTTTAAATACTGTCTGAAAATAATAGTGTTTTAACTCAACATTCTGTTTACATATAATTACAAATTCATTTATTTTGCCATTCTATTTCATATTTTTAATTTGTTCCATCTGTTCAGTGGTTCAGTGTTTCTTTAACTGTTCTTTCTTGCCTTTTTTGGTTTGCATAAAATGTTTTATTATGCGATTTTTACTTTCACTGGTCTGGAAGTTTCACACCATTTCTATTATTTGAGTGCTTACCCTAGAAATTACAGTATGCTTAATTAATCCAAATTCAAAATTAATCCAGATCTTTACTCTTCTCCAAGACAATGCAAGTACATAAGAACACGTACATTCTTTTTACCACCCTCTCAACTTACATGTTATTTATATCTGATATCCTTGATATATCTTGTCTTTGTTGTTGTCTTTTAACCTCATTAGACAGTATTATTACTGGTTTATGCAACTTGCAAGAGGGCAGAGGTCTGAAGTCACACAACCTCTTAGAAAGTTTCCAACTTTTTTTCTTTTTCTTCTGCTTTGCTCAGCCCCAACGCAGCCTCATCCAGAGTCCTCTGGCCTTGGTAGTACAGATGGGGATTGCTTTAGATCTGGTTTGCGCTTACCCTGAGGGGTTCCAGTCCCTCCATCTTCGGTGAGCCCTGGGCCTTGGCTTCTGCCCTTCCCTGCACAACCCAGGAGCCAGATCCCACCTTTGCTGCTGCAGCAAATGAATTCAGGGCATATGCAGCTTTGGTGCTCCAATAGTCTGCTCATCTCTCAGCTATAGCCCTCCATCCAAAAATCAATTAGCCTGGGGGTTGTTGTCTTTTAAACTCTTCAAATTAATACGTACTTTAAGATGCTGATGTTTGTTTGTGATATAAACTTACATACAATTGCTTTTAGAAGATGGATTAATCCAAATCGTTCACCATTATTGAATCCTAAACCTCAATAAATATTACATTTAACTTCAAAATTCTCAGTTGGACTTAAAGGGCACCTGAATCTGAGGGTGAGAACCTTTGCTGTAAATCTACTCTAAAGACCCTGGGGTTGATGGTCTTTAGTTTCAGGACCCAGGACAAAGCAATAAGGACTGCCTAGATTTCTCTTGATAATAAAAATAGTAATTTAATAATAATAATTAACATATTAAGCATGTACATATACCAAAGAATGGCATGTCTTTTATATGTATTAATTTATCTTTCATTATTTAGAGCAATGCCTATCATATTATATTTAATAAATATTAGTTATTATAGTCGTTTTTACACTCACTTCTCAGTTGAAAATATTTTCACTTCTCCTTCTGCCCTCCAGTGGCATATAGCTGCTGTCTGAGGTCCTATTCCTCCAGAGCTTGCTAGAGTTCTCTATTAGGTTACTTCTGTCAATAAAATATGCTACAATAAAACACGCTACCTACAGGGTCGGTGCTTAATATGCTACCTCTCAAATTAGAAGTCTTATTTTCACAGGGTCTTTGACATCTTCATGTCTAAAGTGTGATTGGTGGGACTGTGCACCAAGTGTCATTAGCCCACAGGACGTCTCACCCTTTTTGATGCCTTCCCAAAGAGGGAACACTCCTGCCCTTGCTGTCAGTCTTCTCTCTTCTCCCTTGGTGGACCAAATCTAATGCATCATTGGATTAGAATGCAGAGTGTCTCACTTCCATTTCTAGCATAAATGCTTGCTGGCATCTTAAAATTTAATTTTAACAGGTACAAGCAAGAGCATTAAGAAACATATCCTTGACTTCGATTCTGTTTGTTTAAGCTAAATCTCAATGTCACTTTAACAGACTTGGACTCTAAATAGTTTAAGTTCTGGTGCCAAGAACCAATTATCTACAGCGAGCAAAAAGCAAATGATTTTATGCAGAATGAATCACGCAGAGAGCTTCTGAATCTCAGCAGGCAAATTGGCTCAGAGAAGATGTAATACTGTTGCTTGATTAGAGATGAAGCCACCAACTTAAGGTGGCTGTTTTTAGGGACAGGGATATAAACCAAATACTACTTCTGTGAAATTTTTCTAAATTTCATCTTGATGCAGGACTACTATGTACCTCACTGCATTGTCTGAGACTAAAGACTAAAAATTATATTCATAAACAAACAGTAGATATTTCTTCTGAATTTATAACTCCAGCAGTCCAGTAAGTTAGGGGCCTTCCCTGTTCCTTTGTTTTCATTAACTTTCTGGATTATGTATGATAAAATTCTACATAATGTGGTTTTTAAACTTATAATCATAAAGTTGTTTAGAAGCTGATGAAATCTATAATCTATCTCTTAGGAAATTCTTTCTCATAACATTGCATAAATTTACACATTCATGCACAAGTTTTCATAAGGCTCTTAGGAGATTCCCAGCTTTCGGTGAAGCTCAGTTGGATATAAAAGGTACCTCAATATAAGGGTAAGAACTTTCACCATAAATCTACTCTAGAGACCCTAAGATGGTTTGTCTGTAGTTCCAGGATCTAGGATAGTTAAGCGATAGGTTTCAAACAATAGGTATTTAACTGAGATAAGTATTTTAAACCATTGATGATAATCACTGAATTAAGCCAACCACATCGGAAGTTGATGTAGCCAAGGGGTTCTCCACTTCATCTATTCCATGATACATCAGAGGACTTGGCAGAACGCACTGCAGTGCATCTTCCTCTTCACCCTGTTCAACCCTCAAGCAGACCAGCCGCTTCTTGTTGCATATGTGCTGGCTTCTCTCACTTTGCTTTTCTTGGTTGTTGTATTATGCTTACCTTATCCTGGCTCTCTAGTTGAAACCTAGCTGAGAAAACCAGCCAACTATGATGTGACACTTTCAGAGCCTATTTAAATGGCAAACTGGGGATATGTCGGGATAGGAAACACTGGTCTCAGCATATTCCTTAAGCATGCTCAAGATTACCATTCACAGCTAAGTATGATAGCATCTAGACTTAATCAATACATATTTATTATCATATAATACATATTTGTATTATATCTGTATACAAATACATATTTGTATTTGTAAATATGTATCATACAATACATATTTAATTACCTTGGTCAATTTGTTAGCTCTGTATTTGCTTATCTTTCCATTGCTTCAGTCTTATCAATAAACAATTCAAATCACTGATTTTCTGCAAAGAATTATTTCTGATTCCTGAAACCTGTGTCATGTGGCTCAGGTTGTCTACTCAAGAAAAGAACTTTAATTTCACATAGGAAATATTACTCTCTGTGTTTCTGTCCTTTCGTATGGCTCTTAAACATGGATACATCCAGTTTCCATGCAGAGCTCTACAACCCGGAGGTGTTGCTGGTTGTGATTCTACCATAGCATTATGGATTGTTTTCTACTAAAGTTTTGCTCAGAAACAAAAGGTCTACACTGGAATTCTCCACATTAACATGTCTGCTCTGGTTGCAGGTAAGTCTTGTCTTCTATATAGAAGAGCCTCATAGGGTTTGCTGACACAACACCTAAGACTTGCTTTCAGGTTATCTAACTGAACACGAACCTCTTGTAACCTAGATCAAACATATTCACACTGAGAACAAAAGGCACTTTTTTCTCTATTTCTCTTTAAGTTGATTTAGCAAAAGATTGGACAGGCTAACAGGCCTTTGTTATTATGTTCAAGCTGCAACATTCCATTATCCAGGAGACATTTGTTCATATAAGTGAAATGTCCCATGCTCCACCACTGTCAGTGTTTCCAAAGGAGGTTGTTGACCAGGATTCAGAAGAGTGACGAAAATAATTGAAAAATGCTGTCCGTCTAATAAGTCGGCCTGCAAAACTGTCTGAAGAAGGGAAACTCTAAATACACAAATGGAAACCTAGAAAGCAAGGCAGACACCAAATCATCTTTAATTATCTGTAGCTTTCATGTGGCCCTAATGGAGCAAATCTTATTTTCTCAGGTTGCTAATATTTAATGATTTGAGGTTTCCTTAATGTGGCCCTGGCTGAAGGACCTAAACTAGTATCTAGTTAAATTGAGTTTTCTCCAGTCATGAAGATAAATGCCTTAATCAAATGCGTGCTTTGAAGTTAAATAGATCTGGGTTTAATTTCGAGTCTGTCCTTTGTAAGCTACGTGGCATAGGGCAAATCACTTAACACTTGAGCCTCAATTTCCTCATCTGTGAAAATTCACACTTCTGTGAAGACTATGTGAGATAACACATACAGGGCCCAAGGCACGACCTCTGGCACGTGTAGTATTCAGTAATGGGTATCGCCATGGAAGGATTTGAATCTTTTGGCCAAATTGTAGATGAGATCAGCAAATGGGTCTGGGTTGGGAAAATCCTTTAGTTTGGCACTCAGAGATTATGAGAACTCTTCTAATGCCTGGGTACATGCTATTTGAACCCAAGAAAGACTAAAACTTAGTGCAAGTTAATCTGCATTTACATCTGAGACATAAATAATGGAACAGGGAAAAATTATTCACTACAGGACAGTAAGTCTTCACTCTGTCATTTTTTTCCACTTGGGCCACTTGGTGATGAGTAAAGAAACAGAATTTCTTGACTCTCCCCAATACCTCAGGGAGAGTTTTAGCAGAAAGTAAATTGAACCCAAAGGAATGATTATTCTCATTGCCAATTAATATCTTCTGAGCACCCTGTGGTTTGATTTACACATAAAAAGTGAACTGGAGTCATCATTAAGAGAACTCTAATCAAAGAATTTTTTTAGCTCAATAAGATAGTATTTTTGTGCTTGTGATTAATCTAATGTTGAAAGATAAAATGTGAGAGACTCTCACACAGTTCCCCTAATTTAATCCATTTCTTTGTAACACTATTTTAGTTACTTACAAAATCCTGGCTTGATTCTATAAAAGCTTTAAAGATTCATTAATAAATGTTTACATAGTTACACACACACACAGGCTGATGCTATGATAGGAAAGAACAATTAGCAAGCTTATGATTTAGGGTCCTGTTTACCCAGGTGACATTGAGGCAAATCACTTTGTTTTTTTACTAAAAGTAAATGATCATGTATTCGGACTTTCCCCAATCTTGTTTTTATAATAAAACCCCAACACTAATTAACACTTTTTTTTTTTTTTTGAGATGGAGTCTCGCTCTGTCACCCAGGCTGGAGTGCAGTGGCATGATCTCAGCTCACTGCAACCTCCACCTCCCAGGTTCAAGTGATTCTCCTGCCTCAGCCCCCCCAAGTAGCTGAGACTACAGGCACCCCCACCACACCTGGTTAATTTTTGTACTTTTAGTAGAGACAGGGTTTCGCCATGTTAGCCAGGCTGGTCTTGAACTCCTGACCTCAGGTGATCCACCCGTCTCAGCCTCCCAAAGTGCTGGCATTATAGATGTGAGCCACTGAGCCTGGCCAAATTAACACTTTAGATATTGACATTGGCAACTGAAGCAATGAATGTGCTTGTTTGTGGGATAAAACACATTCTTGATGGTAGAAATGTGCCATCTTTTTTTAAAGGCACATACAAATTAAAAATAAGAGGCTTATTTCTCTTTGTTGAAAATAAGAAAAGAGATTCCCTTCCCCTCCTTTTTTTAAAGAGCTTTTGCCTTAGAAAACTTGTATTTTCTCCTCTCTTTGAACTGTGTGTGTGTGTGTGTGTGTGTGTGTGTGTGTGTGTATACTCTTTTTGAAGACTACCTAGGCCTTTGTCAGCTTTATGACTCAGGAATGTCTTTCTCAAGGACCTGGAAGCCATCTCTTTAGAACATCATTGGAACTAGCACCCCCATCTTCCCCTTTCTGTGAAGGAATAGGAGATTAACCTTTCTGAGCTCTTTGCAGCTTGCTGCAGTTTTTAAAACTATCTTCTGTCATAAAGATATGAGAAGTTTGCTTTTTCCTTCGGATAAAGCCAATTATCTAACACAGATAGTCACCCCAACTACCAGGTAAATTTAGGATGAACTATGTGTGACAAATGATGCTGTCGGTAACTTAAGGAATAGTCATTGTTTCCCTTGAAAATATGTATGCCATGGGTTATCTCTGTTTGGCTATATGAAAGGGTGAGATTTATTTCTGTTATTGTGGATCTCTTAGTGGATTGTCTGTGATGAGTATAACATTCTAGCTTAATGCTTGCCCAATCATAAGAGTATTTTCTTTCCCCACCACTTCTGTGGGGAGAATTTCTGGGTTGGGAGAAAATATTAGTTTCAACTCTATTTCTGCAACAATTTAACACATGTTTGTTAGGTGCCTACTATTCTTGGGTACTCTTTTAGACATGGGGGATTGGTCAGTAAACAAAATAGACAAAATCCTGCCATTATGAAACTTACATTCTAGTGATATGTTTCCCACAAATTGGCTATTTTTTATTAATGTTATTTCCTAGCATATCTATCAGAAGATGTGAGTTTGCTTTTAGCTTTCATTATCTAAATAATTGAAATCTATCACCTGTTCTCATGTTTTTGATAACATGAGCTAAACTGTCAAGGAACTTGAATACAATGCTTATCTAAATGAACACTGCCACTTTATATTGGGGGTTAGAGTAATAGCTTTATGTGGTTTCTAGTGACCTGGAATGATGAAAATTGAATAGTTCAAAATTTTCAGGCCACGTGTAGTGGCTCACACCTGTAATCCCAGCACTTCGGGAGGCAGAGGTGGGTGGATCACTTGAGGTCAGGAGTTCGAGACCAGCCTGGCCAATATGGTGAAACCTCATCTCTATTAAAAATACAAAAAAAAAAATAGCTGGACATAGTGGTGTGCACCTGTAGTTCCAGCTATTTAGGAGGCTGGGGCAGGAGACTCACTTGAACCCGGGAGGTGGAGGTTGCAGTGAGCCGAGATCATGCCATTGCACTCCAGCCTGGGCCTTGAAGTGAGACTCCATCTCAAAAAACAAACAAACAAAAAAAACCAAAAAAATTCATTAGCATTTAGCAATCCGTACTTTATACAGTTCAGGTTTTTCTTTTTAAAAAGTTTTTGTAGTTCTGAGAAATTGAAAACCTAGGGCACACTCTGAAGATGCCCCAAATTTGAAAGCAATGAAGAAAAAAACTTTGTGAAATTTGAAATAATTTAAGGCCACATACAGAAAAGGTACCAAAAGAGCAACATTATTTATAAGAACTCACCTTATAAATCAATTTTTAAAAATATATTCTGTGACATTAAAACAAAAGATTCCTAAAAACAGCAGTAATTTAGGAAATATCTGTCACATACAGTCCCTCCATAATACCCACTATCACTCTTAGCAATTTATTAAGAATTAGTTTAGATTTAAATAATTACCTCTTTGGAAATATCTTTTTTTTTTTTTTTTTTTTTTTTTGAGACAGAGTCTCGCTCTGTCTCCCAGACTGGAGTGCAGTGGCGCCACCTCAGCTCACTGCAAGCTCTGCCTCCCGGGTTCACGCCATTCTCCTGCCTCAGTCTCCCGAGTAGCTAGGACTACAGGCGCCCACCACCAAGCCCGGCTAATTTTTTGTATTTTTAGCGGAGACAGGGTTTCACCATGTTGGCCAGGATGATCTTGATCTCTTGACTTCATCATCCACCCGCCTCTGCCTCCCAAAGTGCTGGGATTACAGGCTTGAGCCACCATGCTCAGCCAGAAATTTCTTATCTTGTGCAATGTGGAAATGTGAAACATCATTGAACATTTCTTGACATTTTTCTTCTAAAGCGTTCTCAAGTTCTTTGAAAGTGTTTTCACGTTTATCCCATAAATGTTTGCATGAACTTAATATGAAAAATAGAAAATAAATCTTAAGAGTTGTACAATGGAAGACCATTTCATGAATTCTGCTCTAAATTCTAATTTTGAGAATGAATTTGTGCTACCTTTAGAAGATTCTCTTGAAATCTTTCTTGAATCTCTGCCAATATACTGGCCCATATTATAGATTTACATTTTTACGTGAAATGTATCAGCATATAAATGTACCTATCTTTTCCACTTACTTTCTGAAAAATGAAGATGAAGGTCAAATTTTACTTGATTTACTCCCACATCAAATGAGAATGAGTTTAACATCCCAAGAAAATCAGGATGATAACCTCTTTGGAAGGTCAGACAGTATGAAACGGTTGTCAGTAAACGGCAATTATAATGAGTAATAATGATAAGCATTTCACATTTAGCATTGTTTTCCACCCATAGCATTACTATGAAGTAGATATTATTACTATTATTTTCTTCTATAGACAGAAAAACAAGTTATCCAAGGTGGTCTAGCTAGTAGGTATGGACAGAAATGGGAGCTGAATCTAAGCAACCTGTCTCCAAAACCTGTACTCACTGTAGAACGTATGTGTGTATGTGCACTTACCTTATTCCAACTGAATCTTCTTTAAAGCAAGCAGAAAACAATCATAGAGTTGAGGAACCATACTTACCATTAGCTATAAAAACAACATGAACCATGGGGCAAAAGGAAAGTCATAAATAATGCTAGTGAGGTTATAAGAAATGGATGAATGTACGGACAGCATAAATAAGCCATAAAAGGGTCTACAGGGCTTTTGATATCCTCACAGTCACTACGGAATAAGATTATTGGAAATTATTGGAACTAAGAAGTACTCTGTAGGCTTGACTTCCTCTATGTTTAAGCCCAACCTCCAACACGGACTGGTGCTTGGTCTTTCAGGAAAATCCCACAGAGCTGTTTTATCCTGGATACAATGTGAGCAGTTCTTCCTCCTCCTCCTATAAAGATTCTCTTAATGTTGTTGACACATGCTGGAGAGACCCTGGGGGCTGTCTTGTTCGGTTCTTCAGTCTGTTTCCTTTTAAGGCACCACGGAATGTGTTATAGATACAATGTCAAATTAAGACTTCCTTTGCTTTATTACCTCAAAGAGTGAATTATCAGCTGTTTTGCACTCACCAAATATTAGAAGTTATCAGAGTTTCTACATTCATGCACATTCTGAACCTAAACAAAAACTTCCTTATCACCATATTAAAGCTTTGCTTAATTTATCACAGTCCTGGTTCCCACATTCATCTGTTTCCATGAGCACCTCCCACCCTTTGTTTTAAGCATCTGTGCTCAGAAGCTTAGAATTAAATTGAATTAGCCTGACACAGTAGACCTTATGGTAATCCATTGCCAGAGTGAATTTTTTGTACAGTTGTAGCCAAAAAGACTCCTGTTAAAAGTCATCTCTGTGACTTTACTTTTCTCTAAACTTGAAAAGGTTTATTTGTTTATCATATCCTATATACTACATACCTAGGATCTAAACATCAAAACTTAGTCAACAATTTTTTGAGACAGAGTCTCTCTCAAGCGACCCAGGCTGGAGTGCAAAGACGTGATCACAGCTCACTGCAGCCTCCGCCCCCAACTTCACCTCAGCCTCCTGAGTAGCTGGGACCACAGGCATGCGCCACCATACTGAGCTAACGTTTTTATTCTTTTAAGAGCAGGAGTGAATCTTTATTAAAAAGCTTTAGAACAGTAAGGAAAGGAAGGAAAGGAAAGAAAAGAAGGAAAGTACAACTTGGAAGAGAGCCAAGCAGATGACCTGCGAAACCAAGTGCACCTGGGGTAACTTTTTAAAAATAATTTTGGCAGAGACAGGGTCTCAGTTGAGTCAAATTTTTAACATTGAGGAATCTCTCTGGATTTCTCAGTTCAATTGTTTTCCTTTAATGTTAATGTTTAGATCCAGAAGTCATCTAAGACTATTCTATCTCACCAGTGGGCTGCACATTTCTTGGGTAGTATAGTAGTGGTCATGGGAGTGGGCTACACAAGATTTTGTTTTAAATAGGTAGTGGGCCAGGTGCAGTGGCTCACACCTGTAATCCCAGCACTTTGGGAGGCTGAGGTGGGTGAATCACCTGAGGTCAGGTGTTTGAGACTAGCCTGGCCAACATGGTGAAACCCTGTCTCTACTAAAAATACAAAAAATTAGCCAGGCGTGGTGGAGGTTGCAGTGAGCCAAGATCATGCCATTGCACTCCAACCTGGGTGACAGAGTGAGATTCTGTCTCCCCAAAAAAAAAAAAAAAAAAAGTGGGTAGTGATATAGTGATATTTGAGTGCTTAATATGGTGTATGGCTGTCCGTGTAACAGAGAGCCAGGAAAAGATTCAGGATACAGCAGCATCTGTAATCAGGGATAATTTGGAAAAACCCACACATCAATGCCATTAGGATTTGCACCATATACTTCAACCATATATAGCAGTGGGAAACAGCTAGGTTCCCAATAGAAAATTTTGCAGTCTTAAGTTAGGAAGAAAGGGAGGGAGGCAGAAAATGAAGTACATTTAGAAATCAGCTTCAGTTCACGTGAAGAGAAAAAAACAATGAGATGAACAGGGAGAATAAAATAATCAAGGACAGAGAAAGAGGAATTTATGTCTGTGAATACTAGACTTTAAGTCCCAAATGACTATCACAGATATTTAGTGCTGTGCAAGAAAGGGAAAGAGAGATCTCATAGCTTCCACAGCAGCAGTGTGACCCCTAAGACGGCTCCAAATTTCTTACATCCAATTTCCTGTCCTTACCTTACTGTAGCCTCAGGATTAGAGGCATCTTTCTGTTTACCTACTGTAAGCTCACAAGACCCTTCCTGCTATCCTGGTTCTAAGTCCTTGCAGAAGACATTTACAGGGTTGCTGTTGGTTGGAAATGGAGCCACAGGGGGACTTCACAAACCCTCCCTGCAAACAAACAAGTCCAACAAACCCCTATAACATGCTCATGTCATCTGACCAGTTGACAGAGCACACTTCCATCTGCATATTGTTACTGCCTTCCCAGCAAAACAGACAATCTTGTGAGATTTCTCCTTTAAAGAGGTTCTGTTTTGATGTGTTTCCAGGATTTGTTTCAAGACTTAGAGCTCCTTTTAGCAGTTCTTGTAGTGGTGGCCTGGTAATGGTAAATTCTCTCAGCCTTTGGTTTGTCTGAAAATGACTGTCTCTTTCCTTCATATATGATGCTTAGTTTTGCTGCATACAAAATTCTTGGCTGATAATTGTTGTGTTTGAGGAGGCTGAAGATAGGGCCCCAATCCCTTCTAGCTTGTAGGGTTTCTGCTGAGAAATCTGCTGTTAATCTGATAGGTTTTCCTTTGTAGGTTACCTGGTGCTTCTGTCTCACAGCTCTTAAGATTCTTTCCTTCATCTTAATTTTGGGTAACCTGATGACAGTGTGCCTAGGCAAATAACTTTTTTGTGATGAATTTTCCAGTTGTTCTTTGTGCTTCCTGTATTTGCATGTCTAGGTCTCTAGCAAGGCTGGGGAAGGTTTCCTCAATTATTCCCCCAAATATGTTTTCCAAGCTTTTAGAATTCTCTTCTTCCTCAGGAACACTGATTATTCTTAGGTTTGGTCATTTAACATAATCCCAGACTTCTTGGAAGCTTTGTTCATATTTTCTTATTCTTTTTGTCTTTGTCTTTGTTGGATTGTGTTAATTCAAAGACCTTGTCTTAGAGTTCTGAATTTCTTTCTTCTACTTGTTCAATTCTATTGCTGAGACTTTCCAGAGCATTTTGCATTTCTAAAAGTGTGTCTGAAGTTTCCTGAATTTTTTATTGTTTTTTCTTTAAGCTATCTATTTCATTGACTATTTCTCCCTTCACTTCTTGTATCATTTTTTGGATTTCCTTGCATTGGGCTTTGCCTTTCTCTGGTCCCTCCCTGATTAGCTTAATAACTAACCTCCTGAATTCTTTTTCAGGTAAATCAGGGATTTCTTCTTGGTTTGGATCCATTGCTGGTGAACTAGTGTGATTCTGCGGGGGTGTTGAAGAGCCTTGTTTTGTCGTATTACCAGGGTTGGTTTTCTGGTTCCTTCTCATTTGGGTAGGCTCTGTCTGAGGGAAGGTCCAGGGCTGAAGGCTGTTGTTCATATTCTTTTGTCCCACAAGCTGTTCCCTTGATGTAGTACTCTCCCTCTTTTCCTATGGATGTGGCATCCTGTGAGCTGAACTGCAGTGATTTTTGTCTCTCTTCTGGGTCTAGCCACCCAGCAAGTCTACCCAACTCTGGACTGGTACTGGGGGTTGTCTGCAGAGTCTTGTGATGTGAACCGTCTATGGGTTTCTCAGCTGTGGATACCAGTGCCTATTCCGGGGAGGTGGCAGGGTGGGGTGCAATGGACTCCGTGAGGGTTCTTAGCTCTGGTGGTTGAATGCTCTATTTTTGTGCTGGTTGGTCTCCTGCCAGGAGGTGGCGCTTTCTAGAAAGCATCAGCTATAGCAGTGTGGAGAGGGACCAGTGGTAGGTGGGGCCCTAGAACTCAAGATTATATGCCCTTTGTCTTCAGCTAGCAGGGTGGATAGGGAAGGACCATCAGGTGGGGGCAGGGTTTGGCTGTCTGAGCTCAAACTCTCCTTTGGTGGGTCCTGCTGCAGCTGCTCTGGGGGATGAAGGTGAGATTCCCAGGTCACCGGAGTTGTGTACCTAGGAGGATTATGGCAGCTGCTGCTGAGACATGCAGGTTGCCAGGGAAGTGGGGGAAAGGTGGCAGTCACAGGCCTCACCCAGCTGCCACGCAAACTGAAGGGCTGGTCTCACTCCCACCACGGCCCCTGCAACAGCCCCGAGTCTGTTTGCAGGAGGAGGGCAAGATGGGCTTGAAAACTTACCCCAGGCTACCTGCCTCCCAGTTGCGAAATAAATGGGCTTGGTTCTTCCCCTGCATGTGGAGTCTGCATACTGGATTTGCGCCCTCCCCTGAGATCTGGCCAGGAGGCTTCTCACCCTGTTCAAACTGTTACAAAGTTCAGCTAGAGATTTCCTTCCCTCTGTGGAGTTCTAGTCCTGCTCCTCTGGCTGCTCTCCCCATGGATCCCTGTGGTGCCAGGCCAGGCAGGAATGGCCTGCTAGGAGATGCAGTGAACCCCCAGGGCCCTTCTGCTGCTACCTCTACTCCTGTGTTTCGCTCGGCTGCCTGCATTGACTCAGCTCCAGGTAAAGTTGGAAACTTCCCCTGCAAACAGAACTTCAGCTTCTCCAGTGGGGGTGTGTGTTCAAAAGATGATGGTCCCTCTTTCCCACTTCCACAGTTGGGGCACTCACCGTATTTGGGATGTCTCCTAAGTCCTTCAGGAGCAGTCTGCTTCCTTCAGAGGGTCTGTAGGTCCTCTAGGGATTGCTGCTTTTTTCTTGCATTCAATCTGGAGCTAAAATTCACAATACAAGCCTCCACACACCGCTCTGTCCAGAGGTGGAATCTAGTCCTGCTTCCCATCGGCCATCATGAGCCCATCATCACCTTTATCTTACTTTTTTACAAAGTGTCTACATTGGGCTTTTAGCTTTTATCATGGACTTCAGTTCATTTGAGGCTTTGACCTTCATGAAGCTTAAAAAATGTGTGTTGTACTGAATTGGCAAAATTTAAAAGTCAGATAATATCAAGGGTTGTCAAAAATGGAAAAACAACATGTACTTTCACCTACTGTTGGCAAAAGCCCATCAGATTTTAAAAAGTGAAGTTGAACATACACATATCTATGACCTATTAATTTCATCTCCAGGTATATACCCTAGAGAGCTTCTTGAATACATACCAAGAGATATAGAAAAAATGCTCACAGCAGCCTTGTTCCTGAGAACAAAATGCTGAAAACAACTCATCATTACCAGTAAAAAGACAATAAGACTGAGGCATATACATACACTGGAATCCTATACAATAGTGAACATGAATGAACTATAGCCACATGCATTAATGAACAAGTGTCAAAGACACAAAGTTTAGTTGAGAGGGCCAAGTCACTGAAGAATACATACAGTATAAATTCAATTTGCTACCATTCAAATCAGGGAAAACTAAACAATGCTTAGAGATACATTCACATGTGATTTAAAAAAAAAAAAAAACCAACCTATGAAGCAAAGAAGCTAATTATCAACACAATATCCAGGATAGTGGTCACCTAGGGTTCAGGGAAAAGGTCTCCAGAGAGCTTCTAAGTTAGTGGTAATGCTTTATTTCTGAAGCTGGTTGGTAGGTCCATGAAGGTGTGTTTTATCACTCTTTCATTTGCATGTGTACATTTCACACCTTTGTGTATATGATTATATATATGTAAATTTTATACATAACTACTGTACTAATGTATAGGAATTGTAAAACACATAAAAGCTGACATTTTTAGAGGATGATATAAAATAAACTAGATATTCTTTCAAAAAAATTTGTGTTGTCAGCAAAAGAAACTATCATCAGAGTGAACAGGCAACCTACAGAATGGGAGAAAATTTTTGCCATCTATCCATCTGACAAAGAGCTAATATCCAGATAAATTTACAAGAAACAAACAAACAACCCCATCAAAAAGTGGGTGAAGGATATGAACAGACACTTCTCAAAAGAAGACATTTATGCAGCCATCAAACATATGAAAAAATGCTCATCATCACTGGTCATTAGAGAAATGCAAATCAAAACCACAATGAGATACCATCTCATGCCAGTTAGAACGGCGAGCATTAAAAAGTCAGGAAACAACAGATGCTGGAGAAGATGTGGAGAAATGGGAACGCTTTTACACTGTTGGTGGCAGTGTAAATTATTTCCGCCATTGTGGAAGACAGTGTGGTTATTCCTTAAGGATCTAGAACCAGAAATACCATTTGACCCAGCAATCCCACTACTGGGTATATACCCAAAGGATTATAAATCATTCTGCTATAAAGACACATGCACATGTATGTTTATTGCAGCACTGTTCACCATAGCAAAGACTTGGAACCAACCCAAATGCCCATCAATGATAGACTGGGTAAAGAAAATGTGGCACATATACACCATGGAATACTATACAGCCATAAAAAAGGATGAGTTCATGTCATTTGCAGGGACATGGATGAAGCTGGAAACCATCATTCTTAGCAAACTAACACAAGAACAAAAAACCAAACACCACATGTTCTCACTCATAAGTGGGAGTTGAACAATGAGAACACATGGACACAGGGAGGGGAACATCACACACTGGGGCCTGTCAGGGGGTGGGGGGCGGGGGGAGGGAGAGCATTAGGAGAAATACCTAATGTAGATGATGGGTTGACGGGTGCAGCAAACCACCATAGCACATGTATACCAATGTAAGAAACCTGCACATTCTGCACATGTACCCCAGAACTTAAAGTATAAGAAAAAAATAAATAAAATGTGCAAAAAATAAACTGTGTATCACCTTTAAAATCAGAGTGTTCCTGTCAATAGCCAGTATTAATTCTTCTGATGGCGTTTTGATGGTCAGGAGTACATTTTTAAAATAAGACTTCATCTTTGTGGGTTATGCTTTCAGAAGTTTTGTTCATGGAATGAAAACCTTAATTTTTCTAAAGTTTTGATGTCTGCTTCCCTATGTCAATGTATGTCTGGTTATCTGTGTCTAGTGTTCATAAGCCATTGTAGGATAAACTTCAAGAATATTTTGTCTAAATATTTTTCCTTTTAATTTCCAAATTACTAATACTTTTGAATGAAAAAGAAACTTGAGTTTGGAATAGAAGCTTCCCTGCCATCCTCTGTAATTGAGAGATAAAATTGTGGCCAGGGTCAACAAATAATTTATAACCAGATGTTCTGTTTTCTGCAGAACAGATGTCAACTTAGCTGGAGAAGCCTAATGTTACCGTGTCTTACCTCTCTGTACATTTTTCTTTTCATGTTTGATCATTTGTCCACTTTCTCTGCTTGGTTGGGTGTACTGTGTGTTCTCCTTTCAGTATCTCTTCTCTCTTTCTCCCCTTTCATGTACACTCACGTTTTCTGTCTTCATTCACTGATTCAACACTTACAATTCAATACAATACATACAACCCAGAAACTACCAGGCACCAGGCAGGTACTGTTCTAGGTGTCATCTTCAAGTCTGTGAATTTCTCTGTAAAAACATACTTTCCTTATACAAAAGAATCCTTTGTTCAACAAATACTTAGAATTTGTCATAGGTGTCAGGCAATTTGCTTGGTTCTGGGATCATCCTCTTTTTCCCTGTTCATATGACATATATATCCAGAATCGAAAAAAGGCCTGTCCCCTATTTATATGCTTTAGGCATATATTCTCTCTCAACAACATTTAAGAATATTTATGAGGTCATTTTTATTACTTATTCTCTGAAGGTTGCAATGTAAGCATTTGAAATCATACACACTTACAAGGAAATAAATGATTTTTAAGTCCCTCAGCATTAAGGAATACATTAATGTCTCCCAACATTAAGGAAAGCAACTTTCCTGGAATACACGATGCCTTCCTATCTTCTCATATTACAGTTTTGTCTCAGCCTTTTTTTTCTCTTTTTCCTAAAAGTTCTGCCCAAAGGTTTGTTTTTCTTTAAATCATTTTCAATGCTGATTTATTCTTCTTGGTATTTGTTACTTAGACCTCAAGCCCTTATCCAGTGTGACGATGGTCCTTAGTCATGTTCACCAAGTATTTCTGGCTCTCTGCTTTCAAGACACCTGTGTGGATGCACCTCTTGGCTACATTAAGATTGGGTGGAACTGTGTGATTTGTCCTGACCAATAAGCTATGAGCGGGAAGGGTGATTGTTGTTTTTAGAAGAGAACATTATATTGCCAGTGTAAGGTCCTCCAAAACTCTTTTTTACCCTTATCATAGCAACGATAATATTTGAGATGATAGTTGCTCTGACAATATTATTCCTAGAATGAGGAGACAAAGAACAGAGCACCCTGCAAACCTACAATGGTCTTGAAGCATAAGAGAAAAATAGTCCACCTAGGGGGGAGGTTGTTACCATAGCCCAACCTCACCTAGCCTGACACTCCAAGATCTCATCATTCTAACACATAGTTATGGACCTGGAAATGAAATTCTGGAATGTATAAGGCAAATAAACACAGACTCTGTCCTTGTTTTTATTATAAGCAGAACCATTACTTAAAATAAATGGAAATAAAACTTGGGCGTAATATCTTGCATTTCCAACCTAGAACTTCAAGGTTACTCAAGGCATCTCCTGAGTTTCACCTATCATTGCTTCTTTGTAGAATGGCAAGTACATTACTGGAGGTGATTTTGGGGGCTAATGAATTTTGGCAAGGTTCTGTAACATCTAAAACTTTAATCACATTTCAGTTATTTAATGGCATTTGGGAGGGCCAGAATTGAGGCTGTGTTTCACTCTATGCATTGCCAAATCAGTGGCTGTTTCCACCAAAAGCATAACTTGATAACATAAATGAGAAATATTCATTGAGAGTAGCCCTCCAAAAATTCAAAGAAAACTCTAGTCTTTTCGTTATTTTCCAACTTATTTGTCTATTAAGCCAAAGCACATTGTGATAATGTGATATAATAAGAAATATGGTATATGTTTGGTCTTTACCCTCAGTTCCTGGCAGTTTCTAAAACCCTTGGAATTTACTCAGTGATAGAATGAAAGGAGCATCTTTTGTTGTTCATAATAAGCCCTTAAATTTTTTAATTTTATTTTCTGTGAGTACATAGTAGATGTATATATTTATAGGATACATGAGATAGTTTGATGCAGACATGCAGTGAAATAGGCACATCATGGAGAATGGGGTATCCATCCCCTCAAGCATTTATCCTTTGAGTTACAAGCAATCCAATTATAATCTTTATTTTAAAATGCACCATTAAGTTATTATTGACTGTAGTCACCCTGTTGTGCTATCAAATACTAGGTTTTCACAATAAGCCCCTTTCAACCATATCTGAGTTTATGCTAATGAGTGAGTGTCCCTAGATAGCTTCAGGATGGAGGCTGAATGCCAGAGGAACCAATCCTGTGATGAGAGGGCTGTAACCTTCAGCCCAAACTCCCTGACCTCCAGGGAGGGGAAAGGCGCTAGAGAGTAAGTGAGTCACTAATAGCCAATGATTTAATCGATAATGACTGTGTAATGGAACTTCCATAAATATCCTAAACAGTGGGGTTCAGAGAGATTCTGGGTTGGCAAACACATCTAGGTTCTGGGAGGCTGGCACCCCTAGGAAGCTCCATCCCCTACCTCCCATACCTTGTCTTATGCATCGCCCATTTGCCTGTTTCTGAGAAGTATCCTTTATAATAAATGGTAATAGTAAGTAAGCTGTTTTCCTGAATTTCTCTGTAAGCCTTTCTAGCAAAGGCAAGGAGACGGTTGTAGGAACCCCGATTTATAGTACGGTCGAAAGTACAAGAGGCCTGGAATTGCACCTGGCATTTGAAGTGGGGCAATCTTCAAATTGAAGAGCAAGCTCTTAAACTTGTGGGATCTGATGCACAAGTTAAACCTTCAGGTTGTGAGGTAGTTAGGGTCAGAACTGAAATACGTTGTTAGGCACCTAGTTTGTGTGTCCAGGGAGACGGAGAATTGTTTGTTCTTGTGGAAAACCCCACACATTCGGTGGTAGAAATGCTGTCAGCAAAAACAGATTCTAGTAGTCGGACACGTTGTATTTGTTGGATCTGGAATTCCATTTTTGGAAGTTTTATTTTACTTGATAAGCTTGTGTTTTTAGAGCCATAATACAAGGAGAAATTTTGTTTATCTTTGGCTTCCACACATAAAACCAAATAAACTTTACTCCATGTTCTGTGGTCCCTAAACGCCATCCTCCATAGGCATGACAAATTTAGGGAGTTTATTACCTATTTCCATTTAAAAAATGATTTTTCTGTAAGTTAAATCTTCTTTACATGGTTAATAAAATATTTAACAAAACCTAATTAGACGATTAATATAAAAACAATATAAAAAGACACAAAACTACTGGCTGGATGCAGTGGCTCACACCTGTAATCCCAGCGCTTTGGGAGGCTGAGGCAGGTGGATCACCTGAGGTCAGGAGTTCGAGACCAGCCTAGCCAACATGGTAAAACCCTGTGTCTACTAAAAATACAAAAAAAATTAGTCGGACCTGGTAGCAGGCACCTGTAATCCCAGCTACTCGGGAGGCTCATGTAAGAGAATCACTTGAACCCGGGAGGTGGAGGTTGCAGTGTGCCAAGATTGCGCCACTGCACTCTGGCCCTGGCCTTGGTGATAGAGCAAGATTCTGTCTCCAAAAAAAAAAAAAAAAAAGACATAGAACTGCTAATATAATTGACAAATAGCTGTTTATAATGTTGATTTTTTTTTCCCATAACCATGAGGATATAAACATTCCCTAATTCCCTGTCTTAAAGGTAGAATCTTTGTTAAAACTGTCTGTGGCTCATGAAAACCCTTGCGGACAATATCTGGCAGCATTTGCAATCTTTTTAGAAGAGGAAACTGCTGACTACCTCCTGATTTCGAAGAAAATGTTGCCTTTAATGACTCTGGAATCATCTCCCTGAGAATTTCTCTGACTGTCCTGTACAGTCCCATTCTGTTAGAGAAAGGATGGAAGAAATGAATTTCAGGGTGATGCTCCTGACATGCATCCTGGATCTCTAGCCAGATTTGATCCAGCTGATTGGAGTCATGGACTTACCTCCTCAGCCCCTGTTCCTTAGGTAGGGGCTCAGAGTTCTTTTATTGGAACTGACAAGACATTGCATCTCAGCTGGAACGCCAGACTGAGCTCCATACATGGTCAGGCAAATGAGGGACATAGGGTTTCCTTCCCACTTATTACTTTCTGAATGGGGGCTCAGAAGCCCCTTATAGGTTTTGTCATCCTGAACAACAGAAAGAGGCTCTCTAAAAGAAAGGAAAAGTTTATTTGGGAATACAGCATTGCAATGGGAATCAGGATGCCATAGTAAACTATGTGCATATTCAGGGAGGTAAAAGAAGATGAAGGTTTTTACAGGAAAAAATGAAGAGGATTACATAACTGTTTTGAAGTAATTATCCTTGGCTACAAAGATCAATAACAAGGATGACACCGTTCTGAGGCTGGGCAGGCAGTTCCTGGGCAGTCCTTGCAAAAACATTTGTGTGTGTGTAAGGTTATGACAGCCTTTGTATAATATTGTAGTTTCATAGAATCTTTATCATATATTCTGTAGGCATATATTCTCTATCACCAACACTTAAGAATATTTATGAGTTCATTTTTATTACATCTTCTCTGCAGGTTGCAATGTAAGCATTTGAAATCATACACATTTACAAGGAAATAAATGATTTTTAAGTCCCTCAGCATTAAGGAATACATTAATGTCTCCCAACATTAAGGAAAGCAACTTTCCTGGAATACACGATGCCTTCATATCTTCTTCTATTACAGTTTTAACCTAGCCTTGTTTTCTCTTTTTCCTAAAAATTCTGCCCAAAGGTTTGTTTTTCTTTAAATCATTTTCAATGCTGATTTATTCTTCTTCGTATTTGTTACTTAGACCTCAAGCCCTTATCCAATGTGACGATGGTCCTTAGTCATGTTCACCAAGTATTTCTGGCTCTCTGCTTTCAGGGCACCTGTGTGGATGCACCTCTCGGCCACCTTAAGGTTGGGTAGAACTGTGTGATTAGTCCTGACCAATAAGCTATGAACAGAAAGGGTGATTGTTTTTAGAAGAGAGCATTAAATTGCCAGTGTAAGGTCCTTCAAAACTCTCTTTCCCCTTATCATAGCATCAATAATATTTGAGATGATAGTTTATCAGGCATACAAGTGTAAGAACCCTTTCTTCATGGTCTCCCCAACTCTATTTGTCATAGGTTTCTTAACATTAGTGATGCCATTTTGATTCTGACAGCTTTCACAGTTTCATGGCCAAGATATTAAGTTTGAGCCCTGGTATTCGATTTCTATCCTCTTCCTAAGCTGTGTGAGTAAAATTGGCCTTTAGTTGCTACCAACCTTCTTCTAGACACAGAGGTATGCATTAAAAAAAAAGAAAGAGGCTGGGTGCACTGGCTCACACCTGTAATCCCAGCACTTTGGGAGGCCAAGGTGGGCAGATCACCTGAGGTCAGGAGTTCGAGACCAGCCTGACCAACATGGAGAAACCCTGTCTCTACTAAAAATCCAAAATCAGCCAGGTGTGGTGGTGCATGCCTATAATCCCAGCTACCCTGGAAGCTGACGCAGAAGAATCACTTGAACCCAGGAGGCAGAGGTTGCAGTGAACCGAGATCACGTCATTGCACTCCAGCCTGGGCAACAAGAGCAAAACTCCATGTCAAAAAAGAAAAACAAAAACAAAAAAAGAAAAGAAAAGAAAAAAAGAAAGATGTAGTATGTGGGGTGGAGAAAGCTCCATTGGAAGCTCTCTTAATGGAATGGGTGTGTGCTCTATTCAGTGGTACCACATCTGCTGCAAAACTTTGATGGTGTCCAATCTGTCTGGTCTGCGTGCATGGCCAAACTGGCTTAGAACTGTTTCTGATAGGAACCCCACCAGCCAGTTAGGAGAAGGTCTGCTTTAGATACTTGAAAGATAGAGATTTTATGACCTCCTAAGGAGAGGTGACTCTACGTGTCCAAAAGTTTGAAAGAGACTGGGCTTAAGCTGCACAAGTGAATGGACAAAGATCTATCCATCTGCCAATCACCGAACATCTCTTTAGAATTCCTCTGTGCCCATATGGAATGTTTAAACATTTTCTGCAAAGGGGATATCAGAAAATAATAGGATTGGTTTACTCATCAGATCAGTTTGATTGTATTTTACAATGAGTTTTCCTGACAGTTTCTAAATGGCTTCAGGTTCTCCTCTTCCATTTATTTCTAGTTGTTGGATGTTTACTGATGAAGTAATTGAGCCTATAATTTACCTTAAGAGTCCTAAAGCTAAAAGAAGGAGATAATTTCTGAAGTTTTCTAATCACTGGTTTGGCAATCTGGAGCAAGTCATTAAAACAACCTAACTTTAATATTTTCACCTGTAAAATATAGAGATAATCAGACTTATCCTCCCAGGGTTGTGGCCTGATGCTGAACAATAACTTTAAAAAATGTCTTTTGCTATGGTTTGAACATTTGTCCCCTCCAAAACTCATGTTGAAATTTCAGGCTGTGTGCAGTGGTTCACGCCTGTGATCTCAGCACTTTGGGAGGCCGAGGCGGGCAGATCACTCGAGGCTAGGAGTCCAAGACCAGCCTGACCAACATGGTGAAATCTATAGTCCCAGCTGCTCAGGAGGCTGAGGCAAGAGAAATGCTTAAACCTGGGAGGCAGAGGTTGCAGCGAGCCGAGATCCACCACTGCACTCCAGCCTGGGCGACAGAGCCAGACTCCATCTCAAAAAATAAATAAATAAAAATAAAAATAAATTTCATTGTCATTGTATAGTATTAAGAGGTAGGACCTTTGAGGGGTGATTAAATCCCAAAGGCTCCACTCTATAAATGGATTAAACCATTGTCTTGGGAGTGAGTTTGTTATAAGCGGGTGCCTTCAGCCCCCTTTTCTGTCTCTCTCTTGCGCTCTCACTTTCTGCCATGTGATGATGTAGGAGGAAGATCCTCACACATGCAGGCACCTTGATCTTGGACCTTCCAGCCTCCAGAACTGTGAGCCAATAAATGTCTGTTCATTATAAACCACCTGTCTCAGATATTCTGGTATAACCACAAAAATGGATGAGGGCATATCTAAACACAAGGTAACAATATGATCAGAATAGAAATAATAGCTTCTTTGTGGCCGGGCACGGTGGCTCACGCCTGTAATCCCAGCGCTTTGGGAGGATGAGGCGAGCAGATCACGAGGTCAGGAGATTGGGACCATCCTGGCTAACATGGTGAAACCCCGTCTCTACTGAAAAAATACAACAAAAAAATTAACTGGGCGTGGCAGTGTGCACCTGTAGTCCCAGCTACTCGGGAGGCTGAGGCAGGAAAATGGCGTGAACCCGGGAGGTGGAGCTTGTAGTGAGCCGAGATCGTGCCACTGCACTCCAGCCTGGGCAACAGAGTGAGACTCCGTCTCAAAAAAAAAAAAAAAAAAAAAAAAAAAAAAGAAATAATAGCTTCTTTGTAGATAAATACAGAGTAATTTTACAAAAGCTATTATAGGTACACTGTGGCCAAATTCTTTAACCTTCCAGAGGTTTGCATTTCAGCGACTTATGTATTTTTTAACAAATATTAGAAAAGTATCTATTAGGTGTCAGACTATATATCAGATGCCTAGAGAGATTAAATTATAGAAGACATATTCTCTCCTATAAAGGAAATTATTTTTAAAATGCAAAAAAAAAAAAAAAAACCCACGAGCCAACAGCGGGCTCTGTGTGAGAATCACTTGATTCAGAAAGTTAGGAAGAAATAGAATACGGAGGCCAGATTACTGAGCAATCCTATGAAAACATACATACTGACAAATCAATTCTCATTAAACTAGAGTGTAGGCAGCAATGCCTTAGCCACAGCTGCTGCGCCTAATTGAACTGTATTTGCATTTCAAAAATCAACACCTGAGGCCACATTCAAATTATTCTACCAGAGGTTACTGTAGGGAATTTGAACTTTGGAGATAATTAACAATATAATTTTTTCTATCATTTTGTCCACAGGGAAGATTCAGTTTACAGCAAATTAAGTAATATTATTTAATATTATATGTGAATGGGTTGTATAATCATTCTCAATGTAAACATATTTTTGCACTATGAGATACCCTAGAAATAAAATTTTAATGTTTGAGTTAGGGAAGAATCACGATAAATAAAAATAACCCATCAAATCTCAAACTGATGTTATAAAAATGGTTTTAATAAGTGATTTCGGTTTAAAGTAAATTCAGTTTGTGATGTATACACAAAGGTGACAAGTGATCTATATAAGATGTTGATTCACATTTATGCCCATGAATGATGTCTAGACATGTATAATAAACTGCTAGGGAAGGTAGCCAGAGTCAGTCCATGCTAAGACTTCTGAGATGCCTAGAAAAGAAATCTTCAAGGAATAATACTAGCTAAAACTGACATAGCCTTTGCTAAGTGCCAGCAGTATTCCTAGGACATTCTCTGTGTTAATCCAGCTCACGGTGACTCCACGAGATGGGCACCATTATAATTCCCATTTTACAGATGGAGAAACTGAGGTTCAGATAGGTTAAGCAAGTTGCATGAAGTCACACAGCTAATGGTTGGGGCCTCAATACCGGATGGGGCTAGTATGGAATCCCAGCACTTTGGCATCAAAGTTTTGCTCCTAACCACCATGCTATAATGTGCTAGAGCTTGACTCAGTAACAAAGCCTCGTTCAACAGAAGAAAGAAGATTTCCCCAGGATGAAAGGAAGCTACATCAAAGAGAAGAATTTTTGTCCGTTGTGGTCACACAAGGCATAAGATTACACACTGGGTTAGATCGCCAGTTTAGACTCAAGTGGATCAGAACTTATTCAGTATCAAGGTTTGCTAGATATTTCAAAGGTACAGTCAACCATGCAGCATAAAGAAAGAGAGATCAGGAACACCCACATGACTTCCCTGGCCCAGAACTGGACACATTCTCTATTGCTCAGAATAATACACAAAGTTGCCAAGTGAAGTTTTGCAGGGTTCCAAACACAGTAGGCAGCACTTTGTTGTTGCTGTTGTTGTTTTGTTTATTTGTTTGTTTGAGACAGAGTTTCATTCTTATTGCCCAGGCTGGAGTGCAATGGCCCAATCTCGGCTCACTGCAACCTCTGCCTTCAGGTTTCAAGTGATTCTTCTGCCTCAGCCTCCCGAGTAGCTGGGATTACAGGGACCCACGACCATGTCCTGCTAATTTTTGTATTTTTAGTAGGAATGGGGTTTCACCTTGTTGGCCAGGCTGGTCTCGAACTCCTGACCTTGTGATCCACCCGTCTCGGCCTCCCAAAGTGCTGGGATTACAGGTGTAAGCCACACGCCCGGCCAGTAGGCAGCACTTTTAAGTTACAGCACAGAGAGGAATAGGACATGAGAGACATCCTTTAGGTTGTCATAGGTTCTGGGTTTATATACTCTAAGTAATTCATTGGCTAGGGACATCCGGCTAAGGTTATCCAATAGTTAAAATATTTTTTCCTAGCAAATATCATTCGTCCATTCACACAGATGTTTAGCTGACAAGGAGATCAGAAGGATCTCTGCCTTTTCTTTCCCTTGGAGGTGTTCTTCCAGTAAAGGAGGTAGATGAGCCCCAGCCAGATGTTGAATTCCTTCCTCTCCAATCACTGATGCAACTCAGCTCCTAATACATTACCTGGCACACAGAAGGCACTCAGTATACTTTGCTGAATGACTTGAAACAGTACATGTCTGTCCCTTAGATTTTTCTGTACCATGATACCCTCACCATGACCTTGACTCAATACATGATGTCTGTGCTACCCATGCCTACAGCCTAAGGGTGGTATGAAAGCTGTGGATAAAAACTAGAAGAGCAATTTCCATTCAAGATTTCATTGCATTTACAACTTGGTAAGGCACAGGGGTATAAAGTGGTATTGCTTTGGTATAATCCTAATGGATTGGAACACAAAAGAGAGGAAAAGTCATGTTCAACAACTTCACCAAATACTATGCAGTTTGGGAACCTCCTAGACATCATGGTAGCCATGTGAGGGACACCAGTGCCACTGAAGGTGGCAGGGATTCCTGGCAGATGTGCAGCCCCCAGCAGAGGCTACTATTCCAGCCCCAGTCCTTGGAGTGCCAAGCAGAGAACTGACAATGAATATGGCTGATGCTTACTGAGTACTTACAATGTGCCAGGCACTGTTCCAATTGCTTTCACATGGAATAACCCATTTCCTCATAAAAATGTGCGAGGTAGGTTATAATATTATTTCATCACAGGATGAGATAAATAATCCTATATTAAATAAACAGGGATGAACAAATAAATGAAATAAAATATGGTCCAATTGAAAAAGACCCAGGGACCACTTGGATACCCTCGCCCTTTCTGACTTTGCCTTTAGACACTTCCGTTTCACCCATCTAAGCAACAGAGGATGGAGAGAGAAGAGCTCTGACTCACATCTTACTTGGAGACCTGAAGCCTTCTACTAAAAGGATGCTGGGGAAAGCCCTTGCTGGGGATGGGATTAAAAAGACTTGGGCCAGGCGCAGTGGTCCACACCTGTAATCCCAACACTTTGGGAGGCCGAGGCAGTTGGATTACCTGAGGTTGGGAGTTCGAGACCAGCCTGGCCAACATTCAACATGGTGAAACCCTGTCTCTACTAAAAATACAAAAATTAGCCCAGGGTGGTGGCAGGTACCTGTAATCCTAGCTACTCAGGAGGCTGAGGCAGGAGAATCACTTGAACCTAGGAAGCAGAGGTTGCAGTAAGCTGAGATCACACCACTGCACTCCAGCCTGGGTAACAGAGCAAGACTCCGTCTCAAAAGAAAAAGAAAAAAAAAAAAGAACTTGGGTACCAGGAAAAACGAAAACCAGGGAGGGTGGGATGAAGGGTGCCTCCCAGGTCTAGGCCAAGAAATTCCAGGCTCATGTTCAGGACAGGGCTGATAGCTAAATTACTAGCTGGTTGTCAATAACAGCAACTTTTCACCACCTTCACCACTAAAAACAACACTTTGCACTTTCTGAATAGTTTGTAATCCATTTACTTAGGGAAAGGACTGAAGCTTCTTTGGAGTTTAGAACGTACATTTTTTGCTTGTTAGTGGGAAGGAAGTAGACAGCACCCAACCCTAAAAAATACATATATATATACTAGCACCATCAGCAGATGCTGGAGACAAGTCTAGTGTGAGTGGCAGAAGGTCATGTGAATCCATCAGAGGAATCTCCCAACCAACTAGTCAATGGTACTGATTTTCCTGTCTCTCTGTTCTTTATTTCCAGAAGCCACTATGGGACATAGGAGGAAGTGCCTGTGCCTAAGGTGCATCAGGCGATGGTTCACTCTTACAGACGATCCAGGCAGGCTCTCAGGCAGAGTGAATGGACATCCTTATTCATCCATCACACTTTTAGGCTTGGCTGCTCTATAAAACTTTCTGAAGAAGCTTCTACTTTTAGCATTTCTTGGCAAAATTCCATCTTTTCCTCCTATTGTATTTATTTTGTTTACTTTTTAAATTTTTGAGACAGAGTCTCACTGTATTGCCCAGGCTGGAGTGCAGTGGCGTTATCATAGTTTACCGCAGCTTCAAACTCCAGGGCTCAAGCAATCCTCCCACCTCAGCCTCCTGAAAAGCTCACGACAGGCACATGCCACCATTCCCAGCTAATTTTTGCATCTTTTGTAGCGACAGGGTCTCACTACGTTTCCCAGGCTGGTCTCAAACTACTGGCCTCATGTAATCGTTCCTCCTTGGCCTCCCAAAGCACTGGGATTACAGGTGTGAGCCACTGTATCCCACCCCATTGTATTTATTTATGTTTATTATTTATCTCCAAGCAACGTAACCAATACATTACAAGCCTTTAGAAAGCTGCTAGGAAATGCATCATCTGGTTGGTCTATTTGTATTCTATTTTGGTTTAATATTCTAAATTAATTTTAGGGAGATATCTGAAATCCCAGTCTCAAGACTAGCCAAGTGACAGATAACAAAGATGTATTATATGGATTTATCTCATACTGTATGAGTGACCCTGTGCCCTCCATGTAAAAGAGATAATCCAGTTTCCTGTATTTGTACATCTCTCTAGCCTTAGGGAGCTATTATTCTCCTGCTTCATACCATTTCCTTCTACCCACCTGTCATTAAATCTCAGTTCAAGAGTGATCTCTTCAGTCAATATTATCTGATTCTTTCCTTCTTTCCCAGCATTCTGTTCCCTGGCACAGTTAGTGGAAGTTATATGTGATCACAACATTTGTTTCCTACCTTTGATGATTCATTTCTCAAGGACATGCATTCTAGGATCACACAGCTGTGGGCCAAGTGGTAGCCCAAATCTGTGGATCATGTAGAATACCTTACTTCAGTATCAATTTTAATTGAAGATTTATGAAACAGTTTTGTAATTGCCTAAAATTTTTCGATGCACCCATACTTAATATATGTCATTAGATTTCCACTTTTTCCATATTGACCTACCTCAAATTTGGTATGTATATGGTTTTTTGTATTGTTTTGTTTTTTGGTGTTTTTTGTTCGTTTGTTTGTTTGTTTTGAGATGGAATCTTGCTCTGTCACCCAGGCTGGAATGCAATGGTGCAATCTCGACTCACTGCAACCTCCACCTCCCGGGTTCAAGCAACTCTCCTGCCTCAGCCTCCCAAGTAGCTGGGACCACAGACATGCACCCATGCCCAGCTAATTTTTGTATTTTTAGTAGAGACGGGGTTTCACCTTGTTGGCCAGGCTGGTCTCAAACTCCTGACCTTGTGATCCACCCGCCTTGCCCTCTCAAAGTGCTGGGATTACAGGCGTGAGCCACCGTGCCCAGCTGTGTATATATATGTTTAGATGTGAATGTATATGAATGTAGTAGACTCCAAGAATGACTACAAATTTCCTTCCACAACTCTGCAACGTGACTTTGCAGAGCTCTTCCCATCAAGAGCTAGAGTACTCTTTCATCTCTTGAATCTAGGAGGACCTTATTATTTGTAAAATATGATGCTAGTCGAGAATTGAAAGCTTGCTGCTCCCAGAACACTGCCACCTTCTAAGACAGTTGAAGCTAGCCTGCTAGAGAATGAAAGACCATGTGAAAGACTGAGGCTTCCTGACTGATGATCAGACAGCCCAAAGCAACCTGTCAACTGGCTAGGACACATGAGCCTCCCCCAAGTAGATCAGCCTAGCCCATAACAGAAGAGCCACCCAGCTGAACCCAGCTCAACTTGCTGACCTACAGAACCATTAACTAAATCAATGATTTGGTTCTAAACCTTTTGGGGGTGGTTTATCACTCAACAAAAACTAACTGATATAGTAAATAAGAAAGGAAGGTGAAAAGCCCAATAAGTAAATCATTTTTATTGGGAAGAAATGACTGGGAAGTTTGCTACTTTGGGGTTACCAGGAAATGCAGTGTTCATTCTCATTTCACTAGGTCTCCTCTATATTATAAAACATGCTGAG
Source organism: Homo sapiens (assembly GCF_000001405.40). NCBI lineage: Eukaryota > Metazoa > Chordata > Mammalia > Primates > Hominidae > Homo > Homo sapiens. The sequence goes on from NC_000001.11 coordinate 242,668,693, forward strand.
CCATTGCTGCATGAAGCAATTGAGAAGATATTTTCAAATCAACCATGGGGAATGTTAAAGATAATTACAAGAATATTTGCAACCCCCCAAAAAAAAATCAGGTCTTGGCCAAGAACAACATGTAAAACACAATTGAACAAGAACATTAAAAATGACTTGAGGCATTCATCAAAGTCAGTTTCAGATAGAGTTTGCAGAGTCAAGAAATGAAAGAGAGGATGAGATGACAAAGCTGTGTAACTTGTTTAAGCTGTTTTAGTCTCAAAATGCAGTAACAAGGTCTAAAGGTGCCCTGGGGAATACCAAATTATCTATTTTGTTGTTCTCCAAAGATATATGTACACATTGGTTGGAAAACAAATTTAACACAGTTGCTTGTATCACATTTGGATGAGCACACAGACGTAATGAACCAGCCCATTTATTCATCTCTTTGTTCCCTAATGTTTATAAAGATGATGTTTATGAAGTGCTTGTGTATGTTCAGTGAGGTGGTCAGAAAAACACATTTCATAAATGCATCCTGCATTAAATAATCATCATCCTGTAGCCAAGCTGTAAAATAATAGGAAGTTACTCTAAGAGTTACTTATACCACATAGCAGCAACTACTTAAATTAGGCAGTGAGAACCATCTGTCCTGGAGACCTACAATAAGGGGGTGCATTTTCTATAGAGAATTTAAAAACAATCACAAAGCCTGCTAAAATTAGGCCTGTCTTTTATGATCACCACATGTTCCAGCAATTCTAGATAATTTCAATGATAATACATATACTCCTCCCCACAGGTGTAGACAGCTTCCTCTGCACCCTCCCCAGCTATGTCTGTTGCTATACACACTGCTGTACAAATGCTGCCTTCGCTGAAAGAAGGTGCTACTCAGATTTTATATACTCATTTCATTGTTATTTTTCTTCATGAAAATTCATTTTCTTCTTTCCTATTTGTAGCACAAGCAGAATAGTTCTAGAAGCAGAGAGTTGTTGCTGGGAGCTCAGCCTGAAGCCTGCTTCTCCAGCTCTTTCAATGATATTATAACCCTTTTATTAGTTTATAGTGCATTCCTTTCCCTTTCACATAACTAGAGTGGATTCTGCAAGTTTAAGCGTGTGCTTTGTAATCGAACTACAACTCAAAGAGTATAAGAGTGTGTGTGTGTGTGTGTGTGTGTGTGTGTGTGTGTTGATTGACAGTAACTTTGCTATAAAATCAAGTTAATAAAATTCTAATATACAATAGCAATCCAGCATACTATCTGGAGATCAGGCCTCAAATAACCTCTTCTCAAATGCAGCTTAGCATAAAGGTAAATGTTAAAAGCTTACAAGCAGGTGGAATGACAGTCCAATTTCATGTACTAAAGCCTATTACCTAAAAATGTGTTTTCCAAGTTCATATTTTTGTTTCCATCTAAAAGCTAGTTCTGTTTGGGTTATTTGCCCAAAGCAAATTAGAAGAGAATGTGGATGTTAAAAAACAGCGGACTAACAGCAGATATGTTATCTAACTTCCTGACAGTGAAGAATGAGCCAGGAAATTAAGAGCAAATGTAAGAACAAAGAAAGCTGAGCAGTCTGGTCCATTAGTATAGGTCAAGGGAGCTATGTATCACAACAGCCTCAAAGACGTCTCCAGCTTGCAATACATAAATGATGTTGCCCATACACTGATGACATGAAATCAAGGGGAAACATTTTAAATTATGTTGCCTATCCTCTCTTGAATAATATGGAAGTCTGTTGTTCAGCATCTGCAGGATTTGTCTTCCCAAGAAATCAGCAACTTGTCCTCCAAGTTGAAGGTAGAGGCCAGTGGCAGGGACGTGCAGAGAGACTACCTTGGAAGGGAGCCTCACCTACTTTATCCGGGGCTTGCTGTGTCCTACAGCATGCATGGGGGTGAAGAGTTAGCTCTGGAGACTTCTGCAAGGCCTCTGGGCTCTTGCTGGCAGCCTCAGTAGAATACTCTAGTCCCATATTTCACCTGTCACCTTGGCTTTGTCATCTGGGGCCAAGGCATAATGGAGCACAAGAAATAGAGTGAAAAGAGCAGTGTGAACCATGTGAACAATTCCACCCGACATTCTTACCATAAAGCCCAGTAGATATTAGAGAAGGATAAAACACAACATGAAAATCAAGTTTCTCTGGAGAGGATCAGAGGAGAGGTTGAAAAAAAGGGGGAAAATGCCTTGAGTTTTGTATGATTTTGATGCCAGCATTTTGCTATGGAGGCAAAATAACTGTAAAAATGTTTACTGTCTCTTTTCCAGTCAAAAGAGGTTGTTTGATTCCAACCTCCTTTCTAAGTGGCAAGGTTTAAATCATGGATCCTTGGGAAAAAGGTGGAATTTACCAATTTTGGAAAGACTTGGGGTGGGGGGGCTTGTAGAACTCTCTGGCAAGCTAAAAGAAGAGCATGAATTGTATGCCATGAATTGAGTAGAATTTCTCCAGTCAGTGCCCCCATAAATCTACCATGAGAAACAGCAGAGGAAGCATTGTTCTCTCCATGCCCTAAACAATACCTTCCAGGTCAACCATGCCTTCACCCAGGAAGTACTATGAAAGATTTTTTTATAAGTTGTCTCTAAACACTATGATGACATGTCACAGGGGAAACATGCTGGGAAATGCAAATTAAAATGTGAACATTGCTATGGCAGGACCTAAAGCTAAATGCTATAAAGCTGTTACCCTGAAGAAAGGAGGACAAATTGATCACTCTCACCAACACCCTGGGTTTTTAGCAAGAAACTTTCCTCCATCTGATCCAGGAATCTCTAGAAACTTTACTCCAAAAGGCAACACTGAATTTGTGTTTTTGGAAATAGGAAAGACCAAAAACTAAAACCAATAAAAGCAACTGGAGGTGAAAGTGTGTTCGAATCTTTTTTTTTTTTTTTTGGAGGCAGGGTCTCTCCCTGTCACCCAGGCTGCAGTGCAGTGGCGTGATTTCGGCTCACTGCAACCCCTGCCTCCTAGGTTCAAGCGATTCTCCTGCCTCAGCCTCCTGAGTAGCTGCGGTTATAGGCACACACCACCACACCTGGCTAATTTTTGTATTTTTAGTATAGACGAGGTTTCACCATGTTAGCCAGGCTGGTTTTGAACTCCTGACCTCAGGTGATTCACCTGCCTTGGTCTCCCAAAGTGCTGGGATTACAGGCTTGAGCCACTGAGCCCAGCCATCTTTTAAAATTACCAACTAAGGATCTAGAAGTAGAAATACCATTTGACCCAGCAATCCCACTACTTGGTATATACCCAAAGGATTATAAATCATTCTACCATAAAGACACATGCACACATATGTTTATTGTGGCACTATTCACAATAGCAAAGACTTGGGACCAACCCAAATGCCCATCTATGATAGACTGGATAAAGAAAATGTGGCACATATACACCATGGAATACTATGCAGCCATAAAAAAGGATGAGTTCATGTCCTTTGCAGGAACATGGATGAAGCTGGAAACCATCATTCTCAGCAAACTATCACAAGAACAGAAAACCGAACACCGCATGTTCTCACTCATAAGTGGGAGTTGAACAATGAGAACACATGGACACAGGGAGGGGAACAACACACAATGGGGCCTGTCAGCAGGTGGGGTCTAGGGGAGGGATAGCATTAGGAGAAATACCTAATATAGATGACAGGTTAATGGGTGCAGCAAACCACCACGCCACATGTATACCTATATAACAAAACCGCACGTTCTGCACATGTACTCCAGAACTTAAAGTATAATTAAAAAAAAGAAAAAAAATACCAATTATGAATAAAGAACTGTGTTCCTGCTGATGTTACCAAAGCAGTTACATCAACCTTTCTCTTTGCCACAAGCCCTTACCTCTCCTTGGTATACTGTAGCTTACAATGGGTCTGTCCTTGCCACCTTCCTCAATCATCCTGTATGGTTCATCTTGGATTTGACAGTGCATCAGGATAGCCATGCAGGAGGTCACAGGATGAGCTACCAGCAACATTTATTCCTAAGAATAAGTAAGTGCAAGGCCCTTAGTTATATTGAGCAGCAGAAAAAGAGAACGACTGGTCATAGCCTATTTCCCCCTTCCATGAAGAGGCATACTTGAAACTTGACACAACTTCTGCTGAATCAATTGCTGCTACTATTTGCCTAGTCTGCTCCATGTCAAACCAATGAGCTTAAAGATCACTGCAAAGCCCTGGGAGTGGCTTGAAGGATCCAGAGCACAGGAATGTCCCAGGAAACCACTTTCAAAATTTTAGCAACAGAAGGGCACCCATAAGAAAGAGCATCCTGTGGCAGGGTATTAGTGGACAAATGGGATGAAGAAAGCAGAAAGTGGCATGGCACAAGTTACCAGAGCTTAAGTAGGGTGAGGAGGCATCAGCCTGGGAGAAGCAGCGGTGTTATAGTCAATGGATTACGTATGGGAAATTGATCAAATAAGTATGTTGGCCAAGTGTGGTGGTTCAGGCCTATAATCCCAGCACTTTAAAGGGGGCGAGACAGGCAGATCGATTGAGCTCAGGAGTTCGAGACTAGCCTGGCTAACATGGTAAAACTCCGTCTCTATTAAAAATACAAAAATTAGCTGGGCATGATGGCATGTGCCTGTAGTCCCAGCTACTCAGGAAGCTGAGGTGGGAGGATCAATTGAGTTCAGGAGGTGGAGCTTGCAGTGAGCAGTGATCATGTTACTGCCCTCCAGCCTGGGTGACAGAGTGAGACCCTGTCTCAAAAACAAACAAACAAATAAGTCTGTTAAGGATAATGGGAGCCAGGTTTCTCACTGTTAGAGAAGAGAGTTACAAATACAGAAAGGGAGAAAACAAGAATGCATTCTGTAGTGTTAGGTTGACATTGGAGGTACTGATGTAAACTCATAAATTTCTGTGTACAAATAGTTAAATATAGAAATAAAGATGTAAATGTGTATGTGCAGGTACAAACATATCCTAGCCCTGTCTTCTGAGAGGGACTGAGAGCTGCAACACCCCAAAAGCAATAATCACTACTAAATAACAATGCTTGGCTTCTAAATACTATTCGGCACTAAAAGGATCCAAGGATCTTTGAATTTCGGAATGAGGGCTGAGGCAGGAAAAACACAACACAAGTATGAATCATCTTTTTGTTATTGACACAACTGGCAGATCTTGAATGGGGTCTGTTCATTTCCTGATACTGATGGTTGCATTGTGGCTATAGAAAAGAATGCTCTTATTTGTAAGAAATACACACTACAGCAGTGATGGGCATCATGCTGATAACTTACTCTCAGAGGGTTCAAGGGCAAAAGTAATTTGTACTATGCTTGCTACTTTTATGTAAGTTTTAGATTATTTCAAAATAAAATAATTAAAGCTGTAGTAATAGAAGAGTATGCCAATTCCAACTCTTAATGCATTGTCTCATTCCCCTCCAGTCTTAAGAACGTTCCATGATAAGAAAGCAAATGGCACACTTACAAGCAAAGGAATTTTTATTATTATTTTTATTATTTTTTTTGAGATGTCACTCTGTTGCCCAGCCTGGAGTGCAGTGGCACAATCTTGGCTCACTGCAACCTCCACCACCCGGGTTCAAGCGATTCTCCTGCCACAGCCTCCTGAGTAGCTGGGATTTACAGGTGCACCCCACCACGCCCAGCTAATTTTTGTATTTTTAGTGAAGACGGGGTTTCACCATGTTGGCCAGGCTGGTCTCGAACTCCTGGGCTCAAGTGAGCTGCCTGCCTTGGCACCCCGTAGTTCTGGGATTATAGGTGTGAACCACCACACCCAGCCTGCAAATGAATTTTTAAATAAATCCTTCATTAATTTTTTAATGGTGAGCAATCATAAGTTACACCATGATCAGGAGTAACAAATTTTAGAATAAGACACAACAAAAGGATATGAGTATAGCCAAATCAGGACAGGCATTGGTGGTTTGCTTTCAAAAGCTCTCATTTTAGTTTTGTTCCTACTGGTTATATTGCTTTAGGTGCTCCTGAAAAGAAAAGCAACAAGACAATATTCCCAAGTGACTATCTAGAGAAGAGGAGTCAAAAAAGCAATATTTGTCCGTATAAACAAATTCTCATGGTTTGAACAGAGTTAGAAATGGAAAATGCTGTGAAGATAGGTTTCTAGGGGCTCTAGAAATGGTATAAGGCTTTGCCTCATTGCTTGCAACAATAAGAAGAGTCAGCACTCTCAATATGGACAAGAATATGGACGGTATGGAAGCTGGGTTTGTTGAGTCAGGAAATTTATAATTTAATTGAGAATTAAGCTATTTCTTACCTCGTTAAATAGTTGCAGACTGTAACATTTCTATTTATTTTATAATTTTCTTAAATTAAAAGATACAACACAGGGGAATTGTATTATCACATGGCCCTACGTATTCACTGAGAACAGTTGCATCTTGAACAGGCAGCAAGCGTGATCTAACAGGCGCTTACAGATTAATGGCTCTGGCAGGTAGGAGAGTGACTCACAATGGCCACACTTCTCTCTAATGAAAAAGCCAGCCAAGAATTGCCTGTGAAGCACAAGCAAGTTTAATAGCACGAAATTCTGCATTTCCCCCCTATTGATTGGCGTGCTTGTTTACACCAGCACTTTTTTCCTGCATATGTGTCTCCAATCCATCGAGGTATTTTCTACGCTGAATAATGGAGGCCATCCAGAGGCTACTCCATATGCCCTCCTGGGAGAAGGGCCACAGTCTCTCCTGAACCATTTTCTACACCAATACTTGTGTCACAGGGAGCTCTGTATTCCTGCACACTGGCATTCAGTCATCATCAGCAGTTACAAGATACAGTCCCAACCTCTTAGATAGCATAGGCTAGCCCTTGGGTCTGTTGACAGTTTTTCAATAATACTAAGCCAGGAAGAGGCAGAATCAACTTATGCAATGGCACTGAAGAGGGGTCTATATGCTCACGGTCCCTACGAGTCACTGGAATAATGCAAAGATACTTCACAAACATTCAAAGCTGGTTTCTTTATATCAGAAATGTATATTGATGCCCAAATGCAAAAAAAAACTGTCCCTTTAAGGAAGTCTTGGTCGAGTCATCCACTGAAGGCAACCTCGGGCTCTCTGCTTTTATTTTTCTTGCCTTGTCTGCGCACCTTTTTTTGAAATTGCACTGGATTGGTTTAATCCAGTTGCATTCTGTTGAACCAAAATTTAGAACAGTAAAACTAACCACGTATAGATTAGTTTATTTTGTTTGTGTTCTGTTGTGAAGACTGAAAATGACAAAATGAATTTGTTCTCTTAAAAAGAAATCAGATAAAGAAATACTGTTGAATCATAAAGCAAGTTGCAGAACAATACAGGAAGCAGGATAATGTATTTTTAAGGCCCACTCAATCACATATATTTTCATAAGCATAGCAAAGTATCTGGAAGGATAGACATCAAACTTCTGACAGCAGTTATCTCTAGGGCGTTGAGAAGAAGACAAAAACTAGGCATGGTGGTTAAAGAAAACTTTAGGCTTAACTTTAATGCTTTATTTTATTATAAGAAGAATTTATTAATATATTGGTTGGGTAATCAATTTTTTAAAGGAGTAGGTAATGATAACATTCAAGATTTTCAGGTATCTAAAAATTGCAATGCTTTAAAGGATATATTTTTTGGCTGTTTGGAAATGCTACCTGTCATGATACTTCCTATTTCTCAACCGCAGGAAAATGTGAAGCATAACTAAACCTTTATTCAATTCACCAGTAGGTATTGATGGCCCTTCATGTTTATGCAAAACATAAATAATTCATCACTTCTTTATGGGCTTTGATGACTGGAATTAAAGTGGAAAACAAACGTTAGAGTTGACAATGAAAAAAAAATGGAGCAGGGCAGGGTTAATTTGAATTGACTTGATGTTTACCTTAATATTAGCTAATGTCTCTTTACCAGAGACAAAAGTAGAAGCACTGTCCCAGCAGTGATGTTCACTGCAAGAGGAGCTTCGACAAGCTTAGGAAGACTATTTTTAGCTCCATTAGGACTTTATGAGCTTCAGTATTTCCTGTTCACTCTTGACAATAATGATGTGATTAAATCTGTTGTCCACTTAGTATGGTTTTTGAGCCTCTGCTGTATTTTCTACAAAATCTCAACATTATGACCTATATGCTCCCAGATAAATGCAGTCACGTGTTGCTTATTGATGGGAATATATTCTGAGAAATGCATTGTTAGGCAATTTTATCACTGTGTGAACATCAACGAGTGTACCTACACAAAACTGGGTGGTACAGCCTACCACACACCTAGACTATATGGTACAGCCTATTGCTCCTAGGCTACAAACCTGTGCAGCATGTTACTTTACTGAATACTGTAGGCAGCTGTAACACGATGGTGAGTACTTGTGCACCTAAACATATCAAAACATAGAAAAGTCACTGCAAAAATACAGTATTATAATCTCGGCCGAGCCCAGTGGCTCACGCCTGTAATCCCAGCACTTTGGGAGGCCGAGGCGGGTGGATTACCTGAGGTCAGGTGTTTGAGACTAGCCTGATCAACATGGTGAAACCCCATCTCTACTAAAAATACAATAAAAATTACCCAGGCGTGGTGGCGCATGCTTGTAATCCCAGCTACTTGGGAGGATGAGGCATGAGAATCGCTTGAACCTGGAGGCAGAGGTTGCAGTGAGCCAAGATGATGCCATTGCACTCCACTTGGGCAACAAGAGTGAAACTCCATCTCAAAAAATAATAATAATATTATGGAACCACCATGGTACATGTGGTCCGTCATTGATGAAATGTCATTACGTGACATGTAGTTACAATCCATTCTCATTGTAATTTTGTCCCCCACTCATCCCCCACCAACTCTCCCCATCCTGATCCCAAAAGCATTAGAGAAGATCTTTCCAAGCCAACACAAGCAGACTTAATTCATTATTCTAATTTGGATTATTTAGAGTTGACTCTTTTCTTGACCCATCTTTTATGAGGTTCAACTGCCAAGCTGCAAGACACTTCATAACGTAATTCTTGACGTTGCTGTTGGAGTCTGCTAGACTCAACACTCTCTGCAAAGCCATACATAGTCCATTCAGCTTTTAGGCTTCTGCCCTCAGTCTGTAGTAGAAACGCGTTCTTCATACTTCATCAGGTGCTAAAACATGTTTCAACCACTTGAAAATAGTTCACCTGGGTAGTAGAACCCAACAGAGTACAGCTGATTTCCAAGCCTGTGCTTCAGCACCAGATGGACCCAACTTGGAATCTCACCTCTACCGCTCAACAGTCCTGTGTGAATTTTTGGGAAATTATGAAGCAGCTCTGACCCTCCATGAATCTATAACATTGAGACAATCATACCCTCTACCTGAGAAACACTTTCCCAGATATCTGCGTGGCTTACTTCCTCGCTTCATTCAGGTCTCTATCCATCTATTTGCCCTCAGAAAGTCATGCCCTGCTCACCTTATATAAAATGGCAGTACCCATTATTTTTTGTCCTGTTGCTTGCTTTATTTTTCTTCAGTAATCAATACCACCTACACTCAAATACTATGTAAGCTCAATGGTGATATTGGTGATAGGGATGTTCTTATTTTTACTACCATGTTCCCAGCACCCAGCTGAGTGCCTGAAACTTTTAGACCCTTGAAAAATACTTGTTGAATAAATGCATTTCTTTATTACAGTTCTATGAAGACTTCTGTTCCAGTTAGGATATAGGAAATCACCAGAGACTATAATTTCCTCCATAACAAGGAAAATAAGCTGTATTTTTTTAATGTAGTTTTAAAACCTATTAGGGAACTGAGACCACAATGTAATTGAAATTAAACTCCAGGGAAAGTCCTGCCCAGGACAGGAGAGACTTGCAGCTGCTCTTATCCAAACTGAAAGAAATCTCCACAAGACATTGTGAGCCATCAGTGAATGCAAGGCAGTAGTCCTTCAAAGGCTGGGAGCAGCAAAGCAGTTGCTGAAAGCTAGCAGGAGAACTGCAGAACAACGAGAACGCTCCAGCAACCAAAAGAGTAATCGGAGAGACTTTACTGGTAAAGGGATCCATTCATCAATAAGATATAACAATCCTAAATGTGTAGCGGCCTACTAAGACGTTCTCAAAACACATTCACAAACACATACTAAGACATTCTCAAAACACAAAAATAGAAACTGACAGGATGGGAAGGAGAAATAGACAAATCCCCAATTAGGTTGGAGATTTCAACAACTGTCTCATGAAATAATTTTTTTAAGTAGAAGAAAAGTAAAGATACAAAAGATTTGCCTACTGCTATCAATCAACTTGACCTTATCGACATTTATAGAATATGCTATCCAAAACAGCAGAATACATGTTCCTTTTAAGTAACCACAAAACAAGTCCCAATAAATAGAATAGGGCTGATATCAAACAGGGTATGCTATCTGACAAAAAATTATACATCAAATCAAAAAGATATTAGAAATATACCCAAATACATAGAAATTCAGTTATACATTACTGAATAACTTGTGCAGGGCACAGAGAAAGTTAAAAAACATTGACCTAAATGAAAATGAAAATAACATAACATTTGCAGACGCAGCTAAAGAGGTACTTAAATAAAATAAATAGCTTTATATGCTTACGTAAGAAAAGAATATGGGTCCCAACCATATCTGAGCTTCCACCTTAAAAAAAAAAAATCCCACGTCAATTTCTATGCTTCCAATTTATGAAGTTTGGAGACAAAGAGCAAATTAAACTTGCAATAAGTAGAAAAAGGAAATAACAAAGAAAAGAGGAAAAATCAATGAAATAAAAAACCAAAATGCAATAGAAAAATCAATGAACCCAGGGAAATAAAACAATACAGAAACTCCATGAACTCAAAAGAAAATCAATGAAACCCAAGAGCTGAGTGGCTCTTTGTAAAAATTAGTAAAATTGTAAACTTTCAGTTAGACTAGGAAGGCAGGAAGGAAGAAAGGAAGGGAGGGAGGGAGGGAGGAAGAGAAAATTACCAATATCGTGAAGGATCAAAGAGAAGATATTACTACAAATATTACAAAATGGATAATAAATATTATAAATAACTATATGCTAATAAACTTGACGTTGACCGTTCTAAACTAGGGATTCTCCGCTTTGGCACTACTGGCATTTGAGGCAGTACTTTGCGTTACCGAATTGAACTTGGGTCCACTTGCCTGGCACAGTAAAGCCAAACACTGACACTGAGGTTTGCAGCAAGAGAAAGAAGGAGGTTTATTTTCAGAGCACCAAGCAAGGAGGGCAAGCGGCTAATGCTTGAGACCTGACCTCCCGGATGGCTTACAAGCAGGGTTTTTAAAGGCTGGGTGCCTTCCAGGAAAGCAGAAGTTACAGGCAAAATCGTACCTGGGGCTTGTACAGTAGTTTGGCCTCAAAAGGCAGGATATGGTGAAGCAGCGGCTTGAAGCTTCAGCAATTGTTTGATTTGCAACTGGCTGCAAAGGTGAAGATTTGGCCTGTGGGCGTGACTCCAGGCCCCTCAGGAAGAAATTGAGAATAAGAACAGCTGTCAAGAGTTCAGTCAGTTCCCGCTCGTTCCCGCTCGTTCCCGCTCATCTGAGATGTGCGTGACAGCAGTCAGCATTTTCCATCTGGTGGGGGTCGGTCTTTCTGAAAAACAACTCAAGAACATAGGTTACGAGGTTATCTTTCCATTTCTTCTCTTTTCTTTCTTTCCTTTTTTTTTTCTTTTTCTTTTTTTTTTTTTTGAGATGGAGTCTCGCTCTGTCGCCCAGGCTGGATCTTGGCTCACTGCAACCTCCACCCCCTGGGTTCACGCCATTCTCCTGCCTCAGCCTCCCGAGTAGGTGGGATTATAGGCCCCCACCACCACACCCCGCTAATTTTTTGTATTTTTAGTAGAGACGGGGTTTCACCATGTTGGCCAGGCTGGTCTCAAACGCCTGACCTCAGGTGATCCGCCCGCCTCGGCCTCCCAAAGTGCAGGGATTACAGGCGTGAGCCACCGTGCCTGGCCCACCTTTTAATTTCTATAGGGAACCAAAACACCTGGTGACTCTGACTTGCTTGGGAGGCTGTTTTTTAAATTATCACTATATTCTTCTTATCAGATTGTGCCTGTAAATAAACACCCTTCTTTTTCTTGCTGCAAACCTAAGCGTTGGTGTTTGGCTTGACTGTGCCAGGCAAGCGGACCTGAGTCCAGTTCAGTAACACAAAGCACTGCCTCAAATGTCAGCAGCGCCAAAGTGGAGAATTCCTAGTGTAGAATTATTTGTCAATGCCAATTTTACTGGCATATGGTTGTTTTCAATATTTATTTGTTATCCACTCTCCGTACATGGATAATAGCCTTTTCAGGGTCTCTCTCCCTTGAAGGGCCTCAGAATTTTTCCTTTATTTCCATGCTTGGTGGGGGTTCTGATGCATCTCATTTGGGGTGTGTGTGTGTGTGTGTGTGTGTGTGTGTGTGTGTGTTGGAGGGGATATTTTGTGCGTTATGGAATGCTTAGCAGGATCCGTGGTTCATCCACTGGATGCCACTATCAGCTCCCCAGCTTGTGACCTAAATGTCTCCAGTCATTGACAAATGTCCTATTGGGAGCAAAACTATCTCTGCTGAAAACCACTGCCCTAAACTAACTGAAGGAGTTATTTAAATAAAGAATAAACAAAAATTATTGCCACTAGAAATGTTCAGGTCCACTTGGCTTCACTGGGGAATTCTATCAAACATTTAAGAAGGAAATACTATTAATCATATGCAAACTCCTTCAGCTAATATTGATGGTGGAAACATTTGCTGACTCATTTTAGAGAGTTGGCATTGCCCTCATACCCAAGCCAGGCAAACATTTCACAAGAAAAGGAAATTATGGGTTAATATGTATTATAAAAATAAAGGTAAAAACCCTCAATAAAACATTTGCAAAATGTAATATATATAAAAACGATATATAATCACCAAATGGAGTTTACTCCACTAATGCAAGCTTGATTTAACATCAGAAAATTGAGCATTGCAGTCTATCATATTAATAGACCAGGAAGACTAATAAACTAAGAGGAGAAGTCAAATGATTATTTCAATGGATACAGAAAATGTGCTTGACAAAATTCAACCACTATTCATGATAAAAGCTCTCAGCAAACCTGGAATACAAGGAAACTTCCTCAACCGAATGAAGGGCATCTACAAAAACAAAGCAAACAAACGAACGAAAACACACAGCTCTCATTATATGTAACCATATATTAAAACTAAATGTTTCTCCCCTATGATCAAGCATAAGGCAAGAAAAAGAAGTAAAAAGCAGGAAGATTAAAAAAGAAGAAGAAAAACTGTCTTTTTGCTGCAGACATAATTATGTATATAGAAAATCTTAAGCAATCAGTGAAAAAGCTGCTATAGGCAATAAGTGAACTTAGCAAGATCACAAGATAGATAGAAGGTCAAATAGAAAAATCAATTGTATTTCTTATACTAGCAATAAATATTTCAAAAATCAAATCGACATAATACCAATTCCAAAAGCTTAAAAATAAAAAAATACTTATAAATTTTTTTAATAAACTATATACAACACTACAAAATATTGCTAAAGGAAATTAAAGAAGAGATAAATAAATGGAGTGACATATCATGTTCATGGATGAGAATGCCAAATCTTCCAGAATTTATGTATAAATTCAATGTAATCCCAATTATAATCTCAGCTGGCTGTTTTTGTAGCAACTCACAAGCTGCTTCTAAAATGTATGTGGCTATGCAAATAACCTAAAATAAGCAAAACAATTTGGGGAATTAAAAAAAAATTGGAGGATTTTACTATCTGATTTGAAGATTTATTATAAATGACAGTAATTAAAACAGGTTAGTAATGATATAACAATAGAAATCAATGCAATAGGAGAAAGATTCCAAAACTGTGCTGTTCAGTATAGTGGCTTCTAGCCTTATGTGGCTATGTAAATGTAAATGTAAATTTATCAAATGCAAATAAAATTAAAACTTTAGTTCCTGCTATACTTTAAGTGAACACATTTCAATTGTCTAGTGGCACTGTATTAGCACAGATACAGAATATATCCACCATTGCAGAAAGTTCTACTGGACAGTGCTGAGACAGAAATGGATTTTTGACAATGGGGCTAAGATAATTCCGTGATAAGAAAGAATGGAGACCAACGTGGGAGGATCACTTGAGCCCAGGAGTTTGAGACCAGCCTGGGGAACATAGCAAGACCCTGTATCTACAAAAAAATAAAAAAAGTTAGCTAGGAGTGGTGGTGTACACCTGTAGTCCTAGCTACTTGGGAGGCTGAGATGGGAGGATCACTTGAACCCAGGATGTTGAGGCTGCAGTGACCCATGATAGAGCCACTAAACTCTAGCCTGGGCAACAGAGTGAGAGCTTATCTCAAAATAAAAAAAAATTATAAAGAAAAGAAAAAAAGAAAGAATAGGATTTTCCAGAAATTGGACTGGAATAATTGGACATTTGTATGCAAAAATACAGTAAATCTTTGCCCCATAACTCACACGATAAACATAAATTTACTTTTACATAAATTTACCTTACATAAATATAAATGTTGAGGATAAAATTACAAAACTTCTAGAAGAGAAAAATCTTGACCATGATTTTGGCAAGAATGCTTTTCTATAAGGGTTTTTTAATACAGAAAAAAATTCCCTGCATATAATCTAATCTAATCTATATTTGGATTTCATCAAAATAAAATGCTTCTTCTCCTTAAAAATTATTATTTAAATAATGAAAGGGGCCTTGCGTGGTGGCTCACACCTGTAATCCCAGCACTTTGGGAGGCCGAGGTGGGAGGATCACCTGAGGCCAGGAGTTTGAGGCCAGCCGGCTAACCTGGTGAAACCCCATCTCTACTAAAAATACAAAAATGAGCTGAGCATGGTGGTGCATGCCTTTAATCCCAGTTACTCGGGAGGCTGAGGCAGGAGAATCACTTGAACCCGAGAGGCAGAGGTTGCAGTGAGCTGAGATCACACCACTGCACTCCAGCATGGGCAACAGAGGAAGACCCTGTCTCAAAAAAAAAAAAGAAAGAAAGAAAGAAAAAGAAAAGAAAAGAAAGGGCAAGCACAGGCTGGAGAAAATATTTGCAATACATATGTCTGACAAAGATTTGTATCAGGATGATATAAAGAAGTTCTACAACTCAATAGTAAGATTATCTAACCAAAAGAAATGGAAAAAAAATTGAACACTTTACCAAAGAACATATACAAATGGCCAACAAGTACATGAAAAGATGCTCAACATTAACACTCATCAACAAAAGAACAATAAACTGTTGATGATCCATGAAGTCTTCTCTCAAAAAAGTGACATTTGAGCTGAGATCTACATAATGTGAAGGTAAACACACACTCTAATTGGGAATAATTTGGGAATAAAGAATTCTACATGCCAGGACCACAAAAGCCTTGAGACAGATATGAGTATGGCATGCTCATTGAAGTTATGTGTAAAGGAGCCATTGGAAGTTTTTAGGCAAATGATATTTGTATTGCTTTCTAGTTTATATTAAAGATTATATATATATACATATTATATATATACATATAATATATATACATATATATATACATATCATATATATATATATATATATATACATATCATATATATATATATATATATATACATACACACACACATATTCCAGAAAGCTATGTGGGGAATGGACTATAAGAGGATCAAGAGTGTGTCAGAAAATTGAGTTTAGGGCTATTGTCATGGTTCAGGCAAGAGAGGATAGTGGTTTGAACCTGGGCTGGGACACTAGAGGTGATGAGCTCTTAGGATCAGGCTATATTTCGAGACAGAGCTGATAGGACTTATTCATGTATCAGATGAAGGTATGGGTAAAAGAAGGAGTGGGGTCATGGCTTATTCCTAGTTTTGAGCTTGAGCAACTGGATGAAAGATGTTGCCATTCACGAAAAGGATCTAGTTTGTAGGGAAACACTAAAATATATTTTATTTAACTATTAGCTTTGAGGTATTTATTAAACATAAAATTGGAGGGTTTTTTTAAAGCTTAGTTGGAGATCACAACTTAAACATACATATTTGGGATCAACTGCCTATGAAAGGTGTTCAAGGCCACAGAGCATGGTGTGATTACTTACGGACAAAGTGTAGATAGGGAAGAAGGGCCAATCCTGAACATTGTCCCCTTAGAGGGAACAGACAGTAACGAAAACTCAGAAGGGGCAGCACCAAGGTAGGAAGAAATCCAAAAAGGTGGCATTTAGAAAATCTACAGGAAAACAAAACTAAAAAAGATAAATGAAAAAAAAAAACTTTAAAGACAGATGTTCTGAAATGATAGTGGGTATAACTACGTCAAGTGCTATTGAGAAGTCAAATAAAATGAGAAAAAAAATTGGACTATTGAATTTGGGAAGAAGAAAGTGATCTCACTGTCTTACCGAGATCTTATGGGTAATCTTAGCAGGAGCTGTTTCAGCGGATATGTGGAAACAGATGTTAAAGGGGTGAGTTGAGAAGATGATGAAAGATGAGAAGATAAAAATGTGTAGAGTTAGTTATTCTTCCCTTAATGGAAACAGGGAAATGGCTTTAGCTGAAGGGGCTGAAAGGAGGAGCATTTGTTTATACATTTATTAGTATTGGAATGTTAAGAATTAGCCAGTAGAAAGGGAAAAAATGATGAAACAACAGAGAAACAAACAAACAAAAAATTGCAGGACAAAAGAAAAGATGGAATCCTAGCAAAAGTATAAGGGTTACCCCTCATGAGAACAAAGATGCAATTTGCATTGCAACAAGAGAGAAGGCAGAGTTAGGTATAGAGCTGTTTGGTTTTGCAGTTAGATGATGAGATTATTGACCCATGGTTGCATCTATTTTTCTTCAATGAATTATCACTCGGTCATCAACTGGCAGTGGGCTGAAAATGGGTTTTAGAGACTGGAAGATAAGATAGAGGTGTGCAATGGCCTTCTGAAACAGTAAGAAAGTGAAGCTACAAGAGAACTGGATGGAAATAGAAATACCCATTTGAGATATGTAAGAAGAGTGAGAAAAGTTATGTGATTGTCTTCGGCAACCTTTAGGTACCCAGGTAGAAATACACAGCTGTTGGGCTCATCCAAGGTTGGGGTTTTGCAAGTGAATATGATGGTGGGCAAAAGAACTGACAATATTTCCCAAGGAAGAGTTGTAATGCTGGATGGTGAAATCTAAGCTGGTTTAGCAGAAGCTGCTAACTATTCAACAAAATCAGTGTTCACCTCTTTCTCATTCCCAAAATCCCAATTCGGCCTGGAGTGACTGAGCATTTCGATTTGTCAGAGGTAGAGGAGTTCCCCTGGATGCAGGGATTTCCACGCTGAAACAAAAGAAGGTGGTTAAGTCTGATCACATCCAATTCATGGCACTTCCAAGGAGGTATATCATCTTCTGATTTAATTCCAGACAAAGCAGACAGAGTCCTTTGACCTGATCCTGAATTGTCATGGTCTTGGAAGACCATTTAGAAAGTTGGATGCAAAATTTCACCTGCAGAAGTTCAAGTCTCCCTAGAGAGGCTTGGCTCTTCAGGTTCATACTGAAACTTATATTGTAGATTAACTGTATCTCTACTGAAACATTAATGGAATACTCCAAGTACCTAACCTGATATAAGAAACATTTGCTAGTTTGGTGTCTTGCAGTAGATACCCAATAAATATTTGTTATTTTTTTGTTATGCTTCCCAGAAGCACACTTCATTTTCTACCAATACAACTAATCACATCTACAATGAATGCACCCACTTCTACTCCAAAGTGTATGAATCTAAGCCAAGGCAAATTGTTATTATTGACATTGTTATTATCATACTTTGCTACTGCTATTAAATTCTTCTCCTGCCAGAACCTAAGGAGAATTCATGTTAGCAGCTGTGATAGTTCTATGCATTCCAATAATTGCAATTTCAATGTATAAATATCAAATGTCAAATCAATGATATGCAAGGTCAATAATAATGGGTTTGAATTTATTGAAATGCTACGCTGCACGAGAAACACAGATTAAACTGTTCCAAATCTAGGAATGCATGAAAGTTGCTGAGAATGCTAAGTGAAAGAAGATCATAGGTTTCCCATGCTCTTCAGTAAATATTTTCAGCAAATAATTATAACATTAACTTACAGTGCATTAAATATTTATATTGAGAATATAGAGAAACTAACGCAAGCATTCAAGTTAATTACGAACTGGTACATCTTAGCTCAGGGAGAGTCAGAGAATTTAGTCAGATTCTTTTTTGTTGTTGTTTTTCTCCTTGTTAATTATACTTCTTTTTAGTCAGTCTTAAAGACAGAAGAGGCCTTTGAAATATAGTTTGATCCTTTTTACAGATGAGAAAACTTAGACTCACAAAATTGTGTGACTTATGCTCCCAATTAGAAAGGAATGTGAAGAGCAAATGAAAGTTTGGGAAGGTATTTCCAACGCATTGAGATCTTGAGAACCTAAGTAGAATTGGGGGTTGGGGGACAAGGCGCAGGGAAGGGGAAGAGATAGGATGGGAGTAAGTGTTGTAGACGGTAAGAAGGAAATGACCTCATTGTGGACTGGAGTTTGGGTGTTCAGTGAGATAAACGCAGGCTGGAGAGAGAAGGTTGAGTACCCATCATCTTTTGTGACATACTTTCCTCATCAGAGGAAGAAGAGAGGATCCAAACCTGGCCATTGCATGCCGTCTTATTTGTAGAAATTTCCTGGCTTCCCAACAGGTAGGGAAAGTTGCACTTCTCTCAACTATTAGAGGAGTGGCTGTAAAATAGTCTGTGCACAACCCTTACGATTCATTAGAGCACAGGAAGAAATGATGGAACTTTTATATATTTAGGTAACATCCAGAAATTACCCAAAATTAAGCCTTGCTAACATTTTATATATGAATTGACATATTTTTCTTCCACCAAAATCCAAGAATATTAAATATTTGACCATTTTGTAATGACAAGTTTAGTGTTCTGAAATTGTTGTCTGAGAAAAACTTATACAAAAAAACGCAGTTAAATTGTTCCTTCATGATAAAGATGATTTTTGAGAAATGAGAGGGAAAAACTAATTTTCAAGAGAAAAAACTTGTGCTAGGATTTAAAAAAAAATTTTGAAAAATCAATATTTGAAAACATTTCCGTTGTTAAAATTTTATTACCAAAACAATGCATGTCTATTACAATGCCTCTCATTTCCACACAAACTTGAAATCCAAATTTTCTGACTTGTTAAAACAATATTCCAAATGAGGCCATTTAGTGAGTTTTAAATTCATTTGTTAAAATATTGGAATGTAACACTTTGTGATTTGTTCGTTTGAACAACTGAGTGACATCAGGAAGTTGGAAATTTACTAAGATAATTTCAAGAGAAATATAGGTTCAATCAGAGAATTTCATTGAAAATGAGTATTACAATTTAGTACATTCATCCAACAATATTTGGCTCCCATTTGAATCTAGAAATTTGTGAGATGCCTTCTCCTAATGTTAATACTGAACAATGAAATAAAGTGAACTTACAAAACATCTTCAGATTGCTGTATAACAAAATGTCCTAAACAAGATGTTAATAGTTAACCAAAATCACATTCCTTTCCTTAAAAGTGTAATTAGGCCAGGTGCAGTGGTTCACGCCAGTAATCCCAGCACTTTGGGAAGCCAAGGTGGGCAGATCACTTGAGGTCAGGAGTTCGAGACCAGCCTGACCAACATGGTGAAATCCCATCTCTACGAAAAATACAAAAATTAGCAGGGAGTGGTGGCGCACGCCTGTAGTCCCAGATACTTGGGAGGCTGAGGCAGGAGAATTGCTTGAACCCAAGAGGTGGAGGTTGCAGTAAGCCAAGACTGCACCACTGCACTCCAGCCTGGGTGACAGAGTGAGACTGTCTCAAAAAAAAATGTAATTAATAATAAATAAAATCAGTAATCAATAAATTAAATATTTAAATATTTCATTTTCTTTATCTCATCCTTTACAATAGTGTTTTATAATGCATATCACATATCAGTAGAACAGTAATATCAATAATTTAGAAATAAATGTGCATATATATATATATATATATATATATATATATATTTTACCATTAGAGGTTTGCAATCACAAAAGTTTGGAGACTTCAGTAGGAACACTTTTCCTTTCCCACTCAGTGCTCAACCCTATAAAAGACAATAAGAATTATACTCTTCTTAAAAAAAATTTATTGTAGTAAAATATAAACATAAAATTTACCATTTTAATTATTTTTAAGTGTTCAGCTCTGTGGCATTACATATATTCACATCATTAGGTATAATAATTGCACTTTTGTATGCCTCTTTATGGTTTACAAAGCACTATGAAATAGATCATTTCATTTTGATCTCATTACTGTTTATGAGAGACACAGTATATGAAGCCCATTTTACAGATGGTAAGAAGCACACTGGGAAATTAAATGCTAGTAATTATCAGAGCCAGGATTTAAGTTCTGATCTCCAGAAACACTATTTTCTTCATATTTTTGAGAGGTGACAGCATGTTGGCAGCCCTTGCTTACTCTGGGTGCCTCCTCAGCCTTGGCGCCCACTCTGGCCGCACTTGAGGAGCCCTTCAGCCCACCGCTGCACTATGGGAGCCCCTCTCTGGGCTGGCTGAGGCTGGAGCTGGCTCCCTCTGCTTGCTGGGAGGCATGGAGGGAGAGGTGCACGCGGGAACCGGGGCTGTGCCCCACGGCACTCACAGGCCAGCGTGAGTTCTGGGTGGGCATGGGTTCGGAGGGCCCCACACTCTGAGCAGCCAGCCGGCACCGCCAGCCCCGGGCAGTCAGGGGCTTAGCACCCAGGCCAGCAGCTGTGGAGGGTGCGCAGGGTCCCCCAGCAGTGCTGGCCCACCGGCACTGTGCTTGAATTCTCACTGGGTCTCAGCTGCCTCCCTGCAGGGCAGGGCTCAGGACCTGCAGCCCGCCATGCCTGAGCCTCACCCCTGCCGTGGACTCCTGCACAGCCGGACGAGCACCACCCCCTGCTCCACAGCGCCTGGTCCCATCGAGGGCCCAAGGGCTGAGGAGTGCAGGTGCATGCCGCAGGACTGGTGGGCAGCTCCGCCTGTGGCCCCGGGGCAGGATCCACTAGGTGAAGCCAGCTGGACTCCTGAGGCTAGTAGAGACTTGGAGAATCTTGACGTCTAGCTAAGGGATTGTAAATACACCAATCAGCACTCTGTGTCTAGCTCAAGGTTTGTAAATGCACCAATCAGCACTCTGTATCCAGCTAATCTAGTGGGGACTTGGAGAACCTTTATGTCTAGCTAAGGGATTGTAAATACACCAATCAGCACTCTGTGTCTAGCTCAAGGTGTGTAAATGCACCAATCAGCCCTCTGCATCTAGCTAGTCTAGTGGGGACTTGAAGAACCTTTATGTCTAGCTAAAGAATTGTAAATACACCAATCAGAACTCTGTGTCTAGTTCAAGGTTTGTAAATGAACCAATCAGTGTTCTGTGTCTAGCTAATCTAGTAGGGACTTGGAGAACCTTTATGTCTAGCTCAGGGATTGTAAATGCACCAATCAGCACCCTGTCAAAACAGACCAATCAGCTCTCTGTAAAATGGACCAATCAGCAGGATGTGGGTGGGGCCAGATAACGGAATAAAAACATGTTGCCCGAGCCAGCAGTGGCAATTTGCTCGGGTCCGCTTCCACTCTGTGGAAGCTTTGTTCTTTCGCTCTTTGCAGTAAATCTTGCTGCTGCTCACTCTTTGGGTCCGCAATGCCTTTATGAGCTGTAACACTCACTGCGAAGGTCTGCAGCTTCACTCCTGAGGCCAGCGAGACCACGAACCCACCAGAAGGAAGAAACTCCGAACACATCCGAACATCTGAAGGAACAAACTCCAGACACACCGCCTTTAAGAACTGTAACACTCACCACAAGGGGCCGCAGCTTCATTCTTGAAGTCAATGAGACCAAGAACCTACCAATTCCAGACACATTTTCACCCAAACCAGGAATATCTAATAGCCCAAGACTTTGTTCTGAGTTCCCTGGACCCGGAGAGTTACCTGGCACAGAAAAGTATTTGTAGCATTTATGTCTGAGATGCAGAAATACTCAAGGTTGCAATAGAATCACAAGACTAAAGAGACTCTGCCTTATTGGCAAAACTGTACCCCTACAACTAACCCACTACATGTCTCTGACACTGTAAATGCATGTCAGCAGCCTTCAGGGGTAATGGAATGAGGGAAAGGAAGAAGTATACTCTCAGCACAAGGCAAGCTTAGGTTTGCCTTCCGAGTCAAAGCCTTCTAGCTCTGAGCATGTGCACGGCGTCATCCCTCTGCTCTCTCTCTCCCCTCCACTTGGCTCTTATCTTCTTCCAGCCATAGTGCACAGGTCTTGTCTTTTGGGAAGGCTTGTTTCAAGGCCATCTTAGACTAAAGGCCCTTCCTCTGAACTTCCTGAGACAGTCCCGCTGTTTACCTAGTCAAAGCACAGGCTGTCTTGTTTCATAATTCTACAACTTCTCTGTTGTCAGCACAGTCCTGGAGGATCCCAGAGCACAGAGCCTGGCACGCAGCCGTGCTCAGTGTCCTTGCTGAGTGAATGATGGGATCCATTCGTCTGTATTCACCAGTGGGGTTAAGCTTCCCACTTCTGTGGTAGCTAAAGCACTTCAATCTGTTCAGACCCAACTGAGGGTATTCTCAGAGCCCAGTGTGAGGGGGATGTAATTATGAAACTGAAAGCTTATTCAGAAATAACAGCTGTGGGTCCAGTTATTCAATGCAGACTCTATGGGCTCCGTTGAACCCCTTAAAATAGCCTGTAAATCTTCTCCCAAGCCTGAGGCCAGCAGAATATTTTCCCTGGAGTTACCAAAAGCCCAGTTCTCTTTTTGTTCTCTTTTGTGTCCCAGCACGAAGCCCAGCAGGCTGGACCTGCAGGTAGGGCTGACAGCCAGCAGTTGCTGAGCTCCCTTGTCTTAGCATCTGACAGAGAGGCCCTGGCACCAAGCATTTTGAGCAAAAAAAACAGAGCTGATTCAGGTGCTGGGCTTGGTTCTTCAGAAGCTGCCATCTGGACACACTCTGCCTCAGAAAAAAATGCCAAGCTTAGGGGTTCATCAGGCAGGAGGGCCTCCAGGTGCACCTGTGAGCAGCATCACTCATTAATTTATACTCACTGGACCACAGCAATAGGACATCTTCAGGCGCAATCCACCTGCCATAAACACCTTAGCTGGGCAAAGAGTGACATTATTTGGCACGAACCTGGTAGCTACCTGCAAGGGGTAACGTGAAAGTGAATAGGGTCCTGGAGGGGCAGGCCAAGTTCAAGGTCAAGATCAGTGGATTCAAAGTGAGTACCCAGGTGTTCATTTCTTCACATGCCTGCTGAATGCTATAGGCCTGCTCATTTCCCCACCGGCAAGTCATTTCTGCTCTGTTTAGACACACACACACACACAAACACACACACACACACACCCTAAGAACAGACTCATGGACAAAGGGTAAGCACCAAACAAGAACAATAAAAGGAACACATTACTGAATTAATGGAAATTTTAAAATAGAAAAATTTTCTTTACCTCAAGCCACATACACTTAGAATTATTTACATTTTGGCTTAAATCAATGCATTAATAAATGAGATATCACTTTTGCAAAAAAATTTCAAAGTGTATTTGCTTCCTTTGAACCTAATTGCCAAGATATGTTGGCTCTCATACAAAAACTGGGTTTGTGTCAATAAATCTTATTTCAGATTTTGAATAGTTGGGCTGCCGAGTAAATGCAATCTAAGTAACAGCCTCATGTGATTTGTATTAGACCTTAGTTTCTTTTCTTTTTCTTTTTCTCTTTTTTTTTTTTTTTTTTTTTTTGTGTGTGTGTGTGAGATGGAGTTTCACTCTGTCGCCCAGGCTAGAGTGCAGTGGCACCATCTCAGCTCACCGCAAGCTCCACCTCCCGGGTTCACGCCATTCTCCCTCCTGCCTCAGCCTCCCGAGTAGCTGGGACTACAGGTGCCCGCCACCACGCCTGGCTAATTTTTTGTATTTTTAGTAGAGATGAGGTTTCACCGTGTTAGCCAGGATGGTCTCGATCTCCTGACCTCGTGATCCGAAGTCAGATTTGATTTTAGCTTATTGCCAAACTTTCTTGATTTTCAGCTCCTTCTGGAACCCTGGCTGTGATGGAGGAGCAGAAACAGAACATATTCAGGTCTTCCTCTGCATTTCCTCCTCAACTTGCTGATGCTTAAAAAATAGCAAGAATACAGTCTCATTCATGGAGTTACAACTATATTAAGCTTAGCCTATAGGAAGGGAGAATAAATAAGAGTGCACTAATTAATACATTCTGAAATATAGCCCTGGCAACTAACAGCTTAGGATTCCATCCTGATTTATTACACTGACTCATCTCCCTAAGAGGTTAAGAGTTTCTCATAATGCAGGAAACGGGATCTCATTCACTTCTTCCATATGACCATTCACTCCAAACCCTCTCTCCACCAACTTCTCCTGCTCTATCTCAGGGCTGTAGACAATAACGCTTTTCACTGAAAACCAGGTCCCTTGCCAAGATTTCATTTTCCACTTCCCACTGGTGAGGCAGGCAGCCACCAGGTGTGGCATAGAAAACTCATAGAGGCATTCTATCTCTTTCATATCTTCCAGGGTGGCAGTGAAGCTACCAGTGCAGTTATTTAGTATCAGGCATTTATTTTGAGATATCTTCTCTCTCTACTCAGTAACATGAAGAGATAGAAGGACTCCAGTGATGATGAAGTTTTAATTCCTAGCATTTTTCTATGCTGTCAGGTTGTCTTTTCTTTGAGGAATGCAATTACTGGAAGTGGGTAACAGAGCAAAGAAAATCCAACTAGTGTAGATGGAGAAAACATTTTAAATTGCTTCAAAATGAGATGATGCCACTGAGGTGATGAGATGAATAAAATCCTATTTTGGGCAAAATCCACAGATAGGATAGCACGCTTGCAGCAGAAGAGTATGGTTGTGATGGCCTGAGAAAGAAAGCCTTCTGGAAAAGTTCAAGAGAGAGTCTGTGATGTTTGTTTTGCATAGATGAGACAAAACAGGGAAGATCAGAAGGAAGATTAGAGTAAAGGTTAATATTCCTAAGATATGACCCAATCGCTACAACCAAGGACTAAGCTTTGGGGTTGACTTTTATCCCATTTCTGTCCCTAGCCTGGTGCTTTTCTCCTTTTGCCTAATCATTATCAAAATCCTGCCACTCATCTCTCAAGGACCAGCAAGAGCCCCGCTTCCTTTCCCCAACCTTCCTAGACCACCCAGACATCACTATTAACACCTTCGTCGGCACTCCCCAATCATGCCTTGTTTCTCTAGCCACCATTGCGTTCCTCTCTCAGTATTGCGTGTTCTTGATACGTGTGTGTCTATGTCTATGCATGCATGTATATGTATATACACACACATATATATATATCCCATTCATTCATTTCATCCACATATATTTTTGAAAACTTATTATTATTTTGAGATGGAGTTTCACTCTTGTCACCCAGGCTGGAGTACAGTGGTGAGATCTCGGCTCACTGCAACCTCTGCCTCCCAGGTTCAAGCGATTCTCCTGCCTCAGCCTCCCAAGTAGCTGGGATTACAGATGCCCACCACCATGCCCGGCTAATTTTTGTATTTTTAGTAGAGAAGGGGTTTTGCCATGTTGGCCAGGCTAGTCTCGAGCTCCTGACCCCAGGTGATCCACCCACCTCGGCCTCCCAAAGTGCTGGAATTACAGGTGTGAGCCACCGTGCCCAGCCTGAATACTTATTACATACAATGCTGAAGACATGATACACAATAAGAGTCAATATTTACCCTCAATAGGCATGTCAGGAAAGACAATAAATAATTTCAATATAGTATGACAAGCAGTTTGAAGAGATAAAGACAAAATTCTATGGGAAGCACGAGCTTCAAAAAGGCTCTAGGCTAAAAGGACCAGAAACCTTTTTCTAGGAAAAGTGAAAGTTATGCTGAAATACAAATTTTTCCAGAGGAAAAGAATGTCTCCATACTATTAATAACACGATGGGTGATCTTGACACGTTGTTGACTTGCTGACCACCACAGAACAAGCATCTTTTTCATGTCTCATCTGGTCTCTTCCTAAGCCCAGCCATCAGTATGTAGTCAAGACTTTCTATACAAATGATAGATTACTGCTAGAAAACTCTAGCAAACTTTAAGTCTCCACTGTCAATTTGTTATATTAAATAGTTTTTTATATATTATATAAAATATATATTATATATTATATATAAAATATATATTATTTATATATTATATATAAAATATATATTATATTATATATTATAGATATAATAAATAAATAATATATAATATATTATATAATTATTTATACATAATTATATATAATTATATGTAATTGTACAATTATATATAATTATATACAATTATACACATAATTATATACAATTATACAATTATATACATAATTATATATATAATATACATAATTATATATTAATTATACAATTATATACATAATTATATATAATTATACAATTATATACATAATTATTATGTATATTATATTATATAATATATATTATATAATTATATGTAATTATATATAATTATATATAACAAATATATAAAAAATATAAAACAAATTTTTGCTTCTGTCCATTTTTATTAAGATGGAAGCTTTGGCTATATGTCCACTTATTTGTTTCCTTGCAGTTTTAAACTAAAGATTCTGATACATAAAAAGTGAGACCCAATCAATAGGCTCTTGGATTCCTTCCAATAGAACAGTTTTCAACAACCTCTCCTACTCTAGGGGTTCATATCGAAAGGACAGGAGAGATCACCAGTATTTTAAAATTCTGCTTCCAGATTCATAAATTTGGAATTGAATGCCTATACAGAATCCTTCATTTTTCAAAATGCATTCATTTTTACTAAAATCTGATTTTTGAATAAAATTCTGATACAAATATACAGTGACTACAAATGGATGAATCAAGAAGACATTTATGTTTTACTCCCCTAAAGTATATATGAGCCACTGTCAAACCCAAGAGGGAAATGTCTTAAATGACTTTATTTCCAGAAGCTCCCACGGCTCAATCACATGCTTGTTAATCCTCGGCAAGTCTCTGAAGCATGTTGTTAATCCGAAAACTCCCTCTCTTGAATCTCTACCTACCATGAAGTCAAATTCTTTCACACATGTATGGCCCTTCACATGTAGATTGATTCTTTCTCTAGGAATGGATTCTAAGAATCAACAGTCATTTACAAAGTGACAACATGACAACACATTCTGTACAAATTCACCTGATTAGATGTGTCGAGAAAAAAGACGCAGGCCAGGTTCTGCAGTCCAGGACATATGAATGACTCCACATGTCAACACTGCAGTCCAGAAATTAAAAACAAAATCTGGTTGTCATCTTGGTTGTACCACTAACTAGTTGTGACCTTGGAAAATTACTTAATCCCTCTGAACCTTGATTACTTATCTATAATAGAGGCATTAGAGCTACAGCTCCATAATACTTAAGAGGTCTTTGGAAAAAAACTAAGCTATCGTGTTACGGGCTTTTTTCCTTGTTTACTACCCTCGTTAGCTCCTTGCTCCATTTCTTTCATAAAAGGAAAAATGAGGGGAAAAAATGCTATTAAGACATCAATAATTTTGAAATTAAACAGAAATATCATTGTACCTGTTGTTTTCCTGGTTCTTTACCTTGAGTGTACAAACATGATCAAATCTTACAGCCTTCAGGCTATGACATGCTGAAGAGCAGGTGATACGACTTGGGATGTTCACACAACAAATTTTTATTACATGTCGCTACATTAGACACTCTTCAAGCAAGGCACAAAACCAAAACCTCTTGAGATCAATAAGTAAGATCTAGAGAATGTTAGATAGTCATAGGTGATGAATCGAATGTGAGAAGTAAGGAAAAGGGAGAAATAAAGGATAATTCCGTCTGTTGGTATGTTTAGGGCTTGAGCCATTGGTTAGGTAATAGTGACATTTGGTGAGATCGGGGAAAATAGGTGGGGGAAGAGGGAATACAAGTTGGTGGAGGCCAGGCTGAATCAATTACTCTGTTTTGGAAATAGTAAGTTTGAGATGCCCACTAAACATCCAAATGCTGATATCACGTAGGCAGTTAGACATGTGAGTCTGGAGCTTTGGACAGAAGAGTTTGAGATGCCTACTAAACATCCAAATGCTGACACCATGTAGGCAGTTAGACATGTGAGTCTGGAGCTTTAGACAGAAGAGTTTGAGATGCCTACTAAACATCCAAATGCTGATACCACGTAGGCAGTTAGACACATGAGTCTGGAGCTTTGGACAGAAATTAGGGACAGAACTTCAATTTGGGAATCATGCCTCGTAGGTGGTTTTTAAAGCACTGGGTCTAGAGAGAAAGTATAGGTAGCCAAGACTATCCAGGATTGAGCTGTGAGAGGATCCAGTAGTTAGAGGTCAGGTAGAGGAGGCAGAGTCAGCATGAAAGACAGATTCAGCCAAAACGGCAAGAAGAAAATTAAGAGAGTGTGGTGGCTCAAAACCAAAATAGTTTTTCAAAAATAAGCAAATGCTTAACTATGTAAAATACTGCTGAGGGGGGTGGGTAGATAAGGTGCCCACTGGATTCAGCAACATGAGAATCACTGGAAACTTTCCAAAGCACAATTTTAGTTGAGTAGTGGGGACAGAAATGAGACTGGAATGAGTTGAAGAAAGAATAGGAAGTAAACAGATGGAGACTCATAGTCTAGTCAACCATCTCAGGAAGTTCTGTTCAGAAGGTCAGCAGGGAAAAATGATATGAAACCACAAGATTACTGGCTGGTATTTATATCCTAAAAGAGATGATCCAGTACAAGGACTGGTTGATGCAGAGACATTTGGAATCACTGACCAAAGACCCTTTGAAGGCAATCAGGGATAACTTCCAGAATCCAAGAGGAAGTCTCTTCTTCTACAGTATCAGGAGGAGATATAAAGATGTATATATGAGTGAATATCTTTTATAATTAGTGGTAGAAAGATAGTTTAAACATCTTCTGGCTGGGCTCGGTGACTGACGCCTGTAATCCCACCACTTTGGGAGGCTGAGGCAGGTGGATTACCTGAGGTCGGGAGTTCAAGACCAGCCTGGCCAACAAGGTGAAACCCCATTTTTACTAAGAATACAAAAATTAGCCAGGCGTGATGGTGGGTGCCTGTAATCCCAGCTACGCAGGAGGCTGAAGAATGTAAGTGAAGTAAAGAGGAAAGTACAGAAAAGGAGAGATGGGCGGGTGAAAAACAGAGAAGGGGTTGGAAGCATGAGCTCAGTGGGGTGAAACAATTGTTGCAGAAGGAATTACAAAGTACTGTGCTGGACAAAGAGGGGGAAGCCTCAGAAAATGGGATGCTCAGGACAGAGTTAGTGCACTTAACGATGATGACACAGTCCGAGGGAGTAGGTGCTGAGTTGGGAAATGGAGAGAAAAAAGTCAATGGAGGTGGGAAAATCAAGGGGCTGGTAGACTGGAGTCACCCTGTGTGGGTGTCAAATTCACCAGGACTGACAGCAGACATAGGGATGGAGAGGGTCACTGTGAGCCAAGAGCTCAAGTCATCCTCTTCAGATGAGAAAGAATGACCAGGAAGTCAGAAGATGATCTTAACAAGAGGCTGCATGAGTCACAAGAGAACTGAGAGTTTTGGAGAAAGGAGGTGTATTAGTCCGGGTTCTCTAGAGGAACAGGACTAACAGGATAGATGTATATATGAAGGGGAGTCTATTAAGGAGTATTGACTTGCACGATCTCAAGGTAAAGTCCCACAGTAGGCCATCTGCAAGCTGAGGAGCAAGGAAGCCAGTCCAAGTCCCAAAACCTCAAAAGTAGGGAAGCTGACAGTGCACCCTTCAGTCTGTGGCCAAAGGCCCCAGAGCCCCTGGCAAACTAGCTAAGTCCAAGAGTCCAAAAGCTGAAGAATTTGAGTCTGATGTTTGAGGGCAGGAGGCACCCAGCACGGGAGAAAGATGGAGGCCAGAAGACTCAGCAAGTCTAGTCCTTCCGTGTCCCTCTGCCTGCTTTATTCTAGCCACACTGGCAGCTGATTAGATGGTGCCCACCCAGATTGAGGGTGGGCCTACCTCTCCCAGTCCACTGACTCAAATGTTAATCTCCTTTGGCAACACCCTCACAGACGCACCCAGGAATAAGACTTTGCATCCTTCAATCCAATCAAGTTGACACTCAATATTAACCATCACAGGAGGACTAAAACTTAGAAAAATGTTTAAGGTATTAAAATAAAAACAGCCTCCAGTGGAGAAAACCATAGGCAAAATGGTGTTATTGGAGGTTCCAGTTAGCAAGAAGTTCAGAAGAATGTTTCAGTTACACACTGTAAATGGTGAATCAGGTCCAGATTCCAAATACAGGACTTTTTCTACTTTATCACATTTGCTATATGGTAAATGTGTATTTTCTTTTTGA